>NC_000010.11:81658246-81809761 GCF_000001405.40 Homo sapiens | reverse complement strand
TAATTCTTATTATTCCTTTTCTTCTGCTTATTTTGGGTTTAATTTGTTCTTATTATTTTAGTTTCCTAAGGGGGAACCCTGGATTGTTGATTTTGGATTTTTCTTCTTTTCTAATATATGCATTTAATACTATAAATTTTCTTCTAAGCATGGGTCTTGCTGCATTCTACAAATTTTGGTAAGCTGTATACCCATTTTCACTTAGTTCAAAATTTTTAAATATTTGAGATTTATTTTTTGACCCACATGTTATTTAGAAGTATATTGTCTAATTACCACGTATTTTGGGATATTTCAGTTATCTTTCTGTTACTGATATTTTTAGTCTAACTACACTGTAATCTGAGAACAGACATTGTATTATTTCTATCTTTTTTATATTTGTCAAGATGTGTTTTATGGCCCTGAATGTGGTCTTATTTTGGTAAATGTTCCATATAAGTTTGAGAAGAATGTGTTTCCTGCTGTTATTTGATAAAGTATTCTATAGAATTTGATTATATCTAGTTGGTTGATGATGCTGTTGAGTTCAACTATGCTCTTTCTGAACTTCTGCTTCCTGTATCTGTCTGTTTCTGATGAAAGGGTCTTAAAGTCTCTGTGATAGTTGATTGATCTATTTCTTCTTACAGTTTTATGATTTTTTTCTTTATGAAGTTTAATGCTCTGTTGTTAGGTGCATACATATTAAGAATTATTATGTCTTCCTGGAATGCTGACCCCTTTATCATTATGTAATGCCTTTCTTTATCTTTGATAACTTTTCATACTTTGAAGTCTCCTCTGTCTGAAATATAGATATTCCAGCTTTCTTTTCATTAATGTTAACATGGTATGTATTTTTTCCATTTACTTTTAATCTATATGTAATTTTATATAAACAGGGTTTCTTGTAGATAACATAAGTGGGCCTTATTTGTTAATTCATTCTGACAAACTCTGTCTGTTAAATAGTGCATTTAGACCATTGACATTCAAAGTGATTATTGATATAGTTGAATTAATGTCTGCCATCCTTGGTACTGTTTTCTATTTGTTGTCCTTGTTCTTTGTTCCTTTTTTTGTCTTCTGATCCTTTTCCGCCTTTTGTAGTTTTAGTTGGCATTCTATGTGTTTCCATTTCTTCTCCTTTGTTAGCATATCAGTTATATTGCTTTTTTTCTTTTTCTAGTGGTTGCCCTAAAGTTTACAATATATATTTTCAATGAATCCAAATGTATTTTCAAATAACACTATGCCATTTCACAGGTAGTGCGAGACTATAATAATAATAATTTTAAAAACCTAATTCTTCCCTCCCATCTTTTCTTTCATTGCTCTTATTCATCTCACTTATATGAAGCATGAAAAGCATATATATACACACATATATATACACATACGTATATATATGCATTAACATGCATATAACACATATCTGTTATATGTATATGTGCTATGCACATAAGCATACATAATCAAATACATTGTTGCTATTATTTTGAAAAAAATGTTATCTCTTTGGTCAATTAAGAAAAAGTTTCATTTTATCATCACTTAGTCCATTCTTGAAGTTCTTCTTTCCTTTCTGTATATCTCAGTTTCTGGCCTATATTATTTTCCTTACCTCTAAAGAACTTATTTTAACATTTCTTACAAAGCAGATCTACTGTCAATAATTTCCTCAATTTTTGTTTGTCTGAGGAAGTCTTTATTGCTCTTTCACTTGTGAAGGATAATTTTGCAGGGTACGGAATTCTACATTTCAAATATTTCTTGTTTCTTTCTCTTTTTCTTCTTCTTCTGGTATTCCCATTAAATATAAGTCTCACCTTTTGTAGTTGCTGCTCAGTCCTTGGATATTCTGTTCTGTTTCTCTCTGTCTTTGTTCTCTTTGCTTTTCAGTTTTTGAGGTTTTTATTGAAATATCCTCAAGATCAGAGATTCCTTCCTCAGCTGTGTTCAGTCTGTTAATGAGCCCATCAAAGGCATTCTCTATTTCTGTCACAGTGTTTTTTATCTCTAGCATTTCTTTTCAGTTCTTTCTCAGGATGTCCATCTCTCTGTTTACATTGCTAATCTGTTCTTGCATGCTGTCTGCTTTATCCCTTAGTGCCTTTAGTATACTGATCATAATTGTTTTAAATATCCAGTATAATAATTCCAATACCCCTGTCATGTCTGGATCTGATGCTTCCTATGTCTCTTTAAATTGTGTTCTTTGTCTTTTGGTATTCCTTGTATTTTTTTTCCTGATAGTTGGATGTAACCTAACAGGTAAAAGGAATTGCCCTAAATAGGCCTTTAGTAATGTGGTGGTAGGGTGTGGGGGGAAGGGAAGCATTCTCTAGTTCTAGGATTAGGTCTTAGTGTTTTAGTAAGCCTGTGTCTCTGGACTGTGAACTTCAGAAGTGTTTCTCAGCTTTTTTTTTTTTTTTTCTACTTCTTTAGGTGGGACAGAATGACTAGAGTGGGCTGGAGTTGAGTAGCTCCTTTCTCACACATGGAAGTCTAAAAGTTACCGGAATTTGATATTTCTGTCCCCTGGTCTGTTAGGCTTTGATACTACCCCAGTAGGATAGGCTCTAGTTAACTAGTTTTTCCTGACAGCACAGGACTTGTTAAGAAAAAATATTTTGGCATATTTCAAAATGATTCTTTTTCTCCTTCCTCTGTGGAAGCACAAGACGACTGTTCCCTGATGTTTACTGTGAGAACATTGTCAAGCTCTTGGTGGTATATTTCACAATATTGTGGGGGGCCGTCTGTGCCTGGATCCCCCTAGGGTTTTTAACTCTCAGGTTTGTCTGCACTGAGATTCATGAATTACAGTTCAGCTTTTCCTTCCTGTGGTGGTTTCCACTTGTGGGCCTCTGCTTTGGTAAGCTCTGATTTCCTGTATTTTCCTGTTTGTTTCTTCAGTCTTGAGAGTGGCCGTTTGCCCTGTGTCCTCATTCCTTTTACAGATCCAAGAAGAGTTTGATTTTTTAGTCAGTTTGGCTTTTTACTTGTTATTAAAATACAATGGCAACTCTCAAGCTCCTTACATGTAGAACCAGAGCTGAAAGAGGCTTTGATATATTTTTTTAAGAACTACAGATCTTCTGTAATAAGATGGCTCCCTCTGGATGTGCTATAGCTTCAAGTCTCATTTTGGGGATGTTGGCCTGAGTTTGGATAAGCCAAGGTTGGTGTAGAGATAAAATTTTGTTTTCACTGCTGCTTATGGTCTCTAAGACCCTGACACAAAATTCAATCTCATTATCAGGCCTTTGAAGGCATAAAACTGAGCCACTGATAATAAGTTGAAAATCACTAGTTAACTTTGTCCAGAGTTGGTGTTTTTTTTTTTTTTTTTTTTTTTTTTTCTCTAGAACTTGAGCCATATAGACCATTTGATTAGAAAAAGGAAAGTTTAGAAATTCCACTTTGGAGTCTCAAGCATGCATCCTACTTCAGGATGTCTTGGGAGACTGTTGAACTGAGAGAGAGTGCCCCATTGCAGTCATTCAGGTCATCAAGGGGGTCATCGGGAAATGCCTTATCAAGCCCCACAAGAGAACTGGGGCAATGCACATGTCAAAATGAATCTCTCCATTCCCCCATTTCAGGTGATCAATTTTTATTTGCCATTTCTCACACCTTCCTGATTACAGAGAGTTGTAGTCATCCTAATAGTCCAATTTTCTAAGTATATGGTCCTCACAGAGTTGTCAGAGGAGATCACGATGTAAAGAAAAAGTTTCCTTATCTTCTATCTATGTGAAATGCTCAGTTGGCCTCAGAGAAAAAAAATGGAGTTCTTTACTTCAAGTAGGTTTAATATCTCGATAAAGAGTTTTAAGCTTGTCTTGGGTATAGGGGAGGCATCCTTTGCCTGGACCAGATAGATTATGTATTTGGGCTTGCTGTGGTAGTGACATAAAGTCAGTTTCATATCTGAAGCATATATCCATTACAAATGTCTTTGGGTAGAATTCCAAGCTGCAGGATAGGCCAAAGGATGGAATTTGACAAATGACTTAGGGAACAAGAGTAGCAGAAATCAGAAGTAAGCAAGCCGGGTGCAGTGGCTCACGCCTGTAATCCTAGTACTTTGGGAGGCTGAGGCGGGCGGATTGCTTTGAGCTCAGGACTTCAAGACCAGCCTGGGCAACATGGTAAAACCTCATCTTTACAAATAAATACAAAAATTAGCCGGGTGTTGGTGGCTTGCTTGCATTTGTAGTCCCAGCTACTCAGGAGGCAGAGGCTGGAGAATTGCTTGAGCCTGGGAAGTGGAGATTGCAGTGAGCCGAGATCATGCTGCTGCCCTCCAACCTGGGTAACAGAGTGAGACCCTGTCTCAAAACAAAAACAAAAACAAAAACAAAACAAAACAAAACAAAACAAAACAAGTTCTTTAGGAGATGGCAGGACCAATGACTTCCAGCCAAGTGAAGCTAAGAATCAAAGTTCAGCATTATCTACACATTTCTCCCACACACAGCTCAATGATAATGCTTTCAGAACTGTGGATATCACTGCAGCCACTGTCTGTCATTAGGTCTACTTGCTCAAATCTTGTTTGATAAAACAGCTGATTACCTTTATTCTATCAGTTTCTTCATCCCACCATCCAGAGTTCCACAGTAATACAAAGGGGCATCATTTTCAGTAAATATAGCCTTAGATAAGGCTTGGTGAAGAGGCCAGAAAAAGTCCAGATGAGTCCAGCTCGGTTTGAAGTTCTACAATGCAAGTGGAGACTACCATTTCAGAAGCACTTGAGGTATTGAGAGATTATGGAGTCTGTCACAAAGGGTCTTCCTTGTTTCTTTCTATAACTGTGGCTGCAGATCAAAAATAAACTTTTGTTTTAGGTAAGAAAAGTAGAGTGCAAAGGAAGCTTTTGTAGAGCCTGTAGACAGTATCAAAGGCTAATTCTTGCTGAGAAGATCAACATTTATGTAGGTAAAAGGTCTAGCTAGACTATAGAGGAGAAGCCTTATCCACTTCTCTGACTATTCCACCAATAAAACCATTAACAATTTGTGCTAAGATCTCTGTAAATATGGAGTCCTTTGCATCCTAGAACAGAGGAAGAATAGAGAAAGGCAGATTTTCAGTGTGGTCCTTAATTTTCTTTGGAGATAGGAGCAGCTGAAGCAGCAGCAGGGATGAAATTGGTAGTGCTGGAGTATATTGGACTCTGGATTTCTGTCTGGTTTCTTCCACTTACCAGCTGCTCTGCAGTTCCCCATGGCAAATATGAAACAGCAAGGAGCCACAGTTTCATAATTCTGCAGCTGGCAGTCCATATCCTCTTCTTTATTTTATAATTGTCCAGCTAGAAGTTCCTGCAGATGACCTAGAAGATCTTCTACGTCCTTTCAATGATCATCCCAGAGTCTGCACGTTCTCCAAATCCAGAGTCTCATGAAATAAATTTTTGTATTTTTCAAGGCACTTATGTGTAAGTGGTTGAAACCCAAATTAAGTTAGGTTAAGAACAAAAGAGATGCATTGGCCCACATAATTTGGAAAGCAACTGGAATAGCTCAGAGAATTAAGGACAAAAAGGCAGGAAATGGGATCTCAAGGGGAAAAACAAAGGGTTATTTTCTTCTCTCCACCCATCTTTCATCTCTGCTTATCTTTTCATGTTGAACTCACTTTTTCCTACTACAAAGAAGCTTCCTCCATGGAATTGGGGTGGGTGTCTCATGGCAGACTTAAATTTATAAGCTTATAGTACTATGAACCTCTAATGAGGGACAAAAACTATTCCTTGGTAGTTTTGAAATAAAAGTCCTGAGAGAGGTTCTGATTGGCTGGACTTAGGTCCTGGGACCCCTCAAACTCTGCCCATGCTGAGAAGAATAAACAGGATGGGAAGGTATGGCTGGTATCGTTATTGACATGATACAACACATTATAATACAAGCGGAGGCTCAATTCTGCAACCTCAGGGGTCCTTTTCTCTTGTCAAAAAATGTCTTGAAATGTAATTTCTCTGCCTAAGAACATGAATCTTTATTTGGTTAAACTATATCCCAAGTACTTTTACTATTTCTGGTGTGTCTTGAGGCCTTCTATTTTGGTAATATATTCTATTAATAATGAGAGTGATTGTTCACACTACCAGCCAATCCCTTTAACAGAAAGTAAGCAGTCTACCACTTTGTATTAAACAATGTTACGGCTGGGCGTGGTGGCTCATGCCTGTAATCCCAGCACTTTGAGAGGCCGAGGCAGGCGGATAACAAGGTCAGGAGATCAAGACCATCCTGGCTAACACGGTGAAACCTCGTCTCTACTAAAAATACAAAAAATTAGCTGGGTGTGGTGGTGGGCACATGTAGTCCCAGCTACTCAGGAGGTGAGGCAGGAGAATGGCATGAACCCAGGAGGCAGAGCTTGCAGTAAGCCGAGATTGGGCCACTGCACTCCAGCCTGGGTGACAGAGCCAGACTCTGTCTCAAAAAAAAAAAAATGTTATAGGTGAGACCTTTAGATGATACTTTCTCACTGTGTCGACACACAGGTTATGGAGCCACAGAAGTCTGGAAGGGTCTGTTTGACTGATGTACCAGCCAAAAATGACAGCACCTGTCATAGTGACCTTACAAACCTCTCTGTAGCTTCTTCTGTATATAGATGAAATTCAACCTTCTGCAAAGTCAGTCTTTGGCCTTCTTGCTTCTGTTGTGTTTAGCACATGGAATGGCCTACAATTCCCCAATTGCTACCCCTCCATCAAAGCCCAACTTACTCTTTTTCTTTATAAACACTCTTTCAAAACTGTGGAATTCTCCCTCTGAATTCTAGAATCACTTTATTCTCTTAGGTCTTTCATTGTAGATTTGTACCCATGTCTCACACAAGTCCCTATACACATATGTACACACACACATACACACACACACAAATATTTTTCTTGAGTTCCTTTCTTGTGTATTGTTTTTCTTCCAGTTTCCAGCATGAGAGGTGTTTGAGGGGGGAATATATGGCCTTTTGCTTTTCTCTAACTTCTTTAGGAACTCCTTGCCTATTTCCCACTGGGAGGTCCAAGTTTGACCTCAGAATGGAGGCTGCTCAGCAATGCTCCATTAGCCTTCATATGGCCTGATTATCGAGGACATTTTACTTTCTCCGGTTATTCTACCTCGCACACTGTTTCACTTCTGAGGCTGCAATTCGCTACTTTTAGGTTGAAATTGCTCATGAAGAATGAGCTACCATAGCCCTGGAATCTGCATTGAAGACCAGGGTGCTAACCTTAAAGGATTCCTCCTTTCAGGCTGAGAGAGGTTAATTCTGTCAGCCCCAGAGGCAAAAATCTTTCATCATTTACAATACTCTGCTACAAGTTAGGGTATTTGGAAGTCCCGGTATAATTGGGACAGTCCTAGTTCCCCCATGTTTCTCGTTACACTTTCAAACTAGCCCCAGTTTGAATAGCAAATTATATGGTCACCCCGACCTGACATTAGGACAGTGTGAAGGGGACATTCACAAAATCATTTCAGTGCTAGTATGGCCTGAAGTATATGGTATGTCCTGGCTGGATCTTGGTTCTTGTCTCTGCCATGGCTAATGCCATTGCCTTCTTCTGCCAAGGCTGCAGTTTTTCTTCAAGTGCAAAAAGGAGGATCCCTCACTTACGTCTGCCATGTAACATTCAGCCAAGTGTGCTCCAGCCAAGACGAGCTGGATTTAATGTTTAAAGATGTTTATTTACCAAGCACATTTCTTTCACTAAGGATTTATTCTAATTGATTTCAAGGGCCCTCAGTCTGGATAAACTGAGGCCCTAAGATGTTTGCTTGTTTGTTTGTTTCTTTTGAGACAGAGTCTCACTCTGTTGCCCAGGCTAGAGTGCAGTGGTGTGATCTCGGCTCAATTCAATCTACCTCCCAGCTTCAAGCGATTCTCCTGCCTCAGCCCCCTGAGTAGCTGGGGATTACAGGCACCCGCCACCATGCCCAGCTATTTTTTTGTATTTTTGGTAGGGATGGGGTTTCACTATGTTGGCTAGGCTGGTCTCGAAGTACTGACCTCAAGGGATCCACCTGCCTTGGCCTCCCAAAGTGCTGGGATTACAGGCGTCAGCCACCGTGCCTGACACAAAGATATTTAATGGGCCTCCCACTTTCCTGTACTTTATAATACCATCTTCAGGAGAAAATTTTGACCTATTGAAGAGGAAAATGTGTAAGAGCCTGCTCACCTCAATGTGGTCCTTTCAAGGAAGAAAGTTCTGTCTTAATAGTATCAAAAATATAACATCCATTTCAGGAAATGTAGCATTTGGTTCTAATAAAAATGTAGCACTTGGTTCTTTTCTCAGGGTAGTGACTAAGCCATATTCTGAACATTTATAAATGACATATTTGTGGCTGACTCAATCTCTTAGTTTGTTTAGCCTGCAATAACAAAAGTACAATAAATTGAGAGGCTTATAAACAACAGAAATTTATTTCTTACAGTTCTAGAGGCTAGGAAGTCCTAGATCAAAGTGCTGACAGAATCAGTGTCTGATGAGGTCTTGCTTCCTGGTTTATAGACAGCCTTTTTGCCGTGTCTTCACATGGCAGAAGAAGCAAAGAGCCTCTCTGGGTATCTCTTTTTTTTTTTTTTTTTGAGACAGAGTCTCACTCTGTCGCCCAGGCTGGAGTGTAGTGGTGCGATCTCCGCTCACTGCAAGCTCCGCTTCCCGGGTTCACGCCATTCTCCTGCCTCAGCCTCCCGAGTAGCTGGAACTACAGATCTCTGCTCACTGCAAGCTCCGCTTCCCGGGTTCACGCCATTCTCCTGCCTCAGCCTCCCGAGTAGCTGGAACTACAGGCGCCTGCCACTGCGTCTGGCTAATTTTTTGTATTTTTAGTAGAGACAGGGTTTCACCGTGTTAGCCAGGATGGTCTCAATCTCCTGACCTCGTGATCCGCCCGCCTCTGCCTCCCAAAGTGCTGGGATTACATGCGTGAGCCACCACGCCTGGCTCTTTTATAAGGGCACTAGTACCTTAATCACTTCCTAAAGGCCCTATCTGCCCATACCATTACATTGGGCATTGAGGTTTAAAATATGAATTTGAGGGGTGAGGTAGACATACATTTGCCTATAAGCACTCAATGATATTTTTTTATATAGAAACTATTTTTAATTTCAAAATGATCATTTCTGACCTCAGTTTGTTCCTTTTAGTAGATAAAATACTCCAAATCTTTTTAAGGTTGTAAATATCTCATTTTTTTTTTCTGGTTAAAAAGATAGTTTTTTTTTAAACTGAGCTGATTTATTCTGACATATGTTAATCATCTTGCTTTCCTGAATCTTTGCTTAAATCTGGTGATTTTAACACTATTTACACAAATTCACAAATATAGTACAGTAGTGAGACTTGAGATGAGTTTTTTTATATTGTGTTTAAACCCTGATGGAGGAAGATGGACAATGTTTAGACTCATCTAAATTGTACTTGGCTAAATTAGAAACCCAGTTGTTTTGGGAAAGTATAGAGAAGTTAGTTCCTGGAAAAGCCTCCTCAAAAAGCTCCAGGTCTTTGTCACAGAATTTCACATATGAAAAATTTGTTGTTTCCCCTGCAGTAAACTGATGACACACCCACTTGTCTACTGGCATGAGAGGCCTCATTATGCGGCCCTTGTCATATGTGGCTTCATAGCTCAGTACATGTGTTAGCTGCCTTGGGAAGCCCAGAAGGTAGTGCAATTGATTCAGACTTCTGTAAGATCATGATCTTCTCACCACGTGGCTGACGGTCCTTTCTTACTTCAAATCATGTTGTTTGACTTGGGGATGTCAGCTCAGTTTCTCTGGCCGATTACTTATTTAATAGTGCCTGATAAATTCTCCTTTGCATATAGTCAGTAGATCAGTCTTTTCTTCTGTGTCCTTTGACTATCGCTAATTTTGGCTTTAATAATACTAATAATTATAATAATAATATTTTTAATTCCAGCTTTCATACATTGAATTATAGTTACATGCAAAGCACTGTGTGACCAAGATTTTGATGACAGATACGCAACTATCTAGACTTTACAGATGAGAAGCATGAGATACCAAATAGTCCTCCACATTCACACTGCTACTAAATGTCAGAGGATGGTGTTAAATTCAAGGCAGTGTGGGGCTAAAACTCGTGCATATGTTCACTATGTTATATGTCACAAAGTGTGTGGCATATAGGTAATTTTTTTGACTTATAATAAGAAAGTTTTTCCTCATTTTCTACATGCTGTTGTCCATGTTATTGGGAAATTGGATATGTTAAATGAGTTAAACATGTAATTTGAGGGCAGAAGTTTGAATTCAAACTGTACTTTTCCCTTTTTAAGGTTATGTCACAAATATTACTTACCAAGACTGTCAGAGCCAGATTCTCTACATCTGGACACTGAATTTCTCGAATATTGACTAAAGTGCATCAGGCAAGAACTTTATTACATTCTATGCCAGTCTCTGGCAGCCTCAGCCTAGCAGGTACTTTCCTGAACATCCCAGAATGATGCTCCAAACCAGATGGCAAATGAGATGAGACACCAGTCCGGGCCAGCCCCACATCATAGATCAGGAAGTGGATCAAACCCTGGATACCATTGTAATGACTAAACTAGGACCTCCTGATTAAAATCACATTAGATTGACAAGTCAAGGAAGGGTCAGCCAATAAGGCCTTAGGCCTCCGTGCCTCCCTTAGTTCTTGGAATTATCTGTCCCCATAATTGGACTCAATCTGTGATGCTTTCCTTGTCTCTGGCCTGAATTCATTGGGGCCCTCTAGTTCTCTCCTTGTTGGGGATATTTGTCACAAATAAATGACCTTGGCCTTTGGTTAAAAGTGTTCTTAGACAAAATATTTGCTATTAGAGTGAATTTAAGTGTATATGTAGAAAGAAAATGCCTTGCTCAATTTTAAGCTGTACATAAACTTATTTTTTAAATTTAATACACCTCTTTTTAAATTATCATTTCCATTGCACTTTCTGATTACCGTATTTGCATTGCCTGGGATTAGTACAAAGGCTGTGAAGTATAAATTCAAGCTGGACAACAGGTCTAAGAACATGGACTGGGACTTAGCACAACTGACCAAGAGATTCCCAAGCTCTATGTCAGAGTCATCTATGAAATGGGCTTTATTTTTGTCTCTACCTTTTTATATACCAACTTACTATAGAAAGTCAGATTTTGTATTGGTGGGGGGTGCCTCTCCCCATACAACTTGCAGAGTAAGTGATATAACCTTCCCTTCAGCACATAGGAGTTTCCTACTTACTTCCCCACTTTCCCGTTCCTCTACCCCATGGCATCATTCTCTGGAGATAATAATCCTCTGGACTTCACACACATCCTCGGTTTTTGTTACAGTATTATCCTATGTAACAATTTGGAGCATCATGGAAAGGAAATGGAATCAAAGCTGGGGAGAACATGCTTAAGTGTTAGTGGTAAAGTGTATACAAGCTGAGGTTTGGGCATTAACCCTTATTAGCCTGTTTTCTGCTGCTGCAACAGAATATCATAAACTGGATAATTTATACAGAAAAAAAGATTTATTCAGCTCATGATTTTGGACACTGGAAAATCCCAAAACGTGCCAGCATCTGGCAAGGGTTATGCCATGGTGGAAGTGTGGAAGGTGGAAGTGAACACACAAGACAGAGAATGGTGGCTGAACTTCCTTTTATAAAACCACCAGTCTCATGATAACTGATTCAGTCCAACAATGATGGCATTAATCCATTCATGAGGGGGTCCGTCCTCATTACCTAGTCACCTCTTAGTGGCCTCCCTTTCTAATAATGCTGCATTGGGGATTAGGTTTTTAACACATGAGCTCTGGGGGATATATCTAAACCATAGCACCCTGGCGTTGATTGCCATCTGTGTGATCTTAGGTGAGAAACCTCACCTCTCTGAGCTCTATGATATGCAGAACTGGCATATTGAGCAACTACATTAGGTATTACAACAAAGCAAAGTCAGATGAATGTACAGCATGTAGTACGTGTCTGACATATTGTAGAATCACTACTGATCTATCATCCTGTATCTGCCATTTAGATATCCACAAATCTCCAAAAAACAAAAGTATTTTTTGACTTATTTGGTAGGAATCTGGATCCAAAGATATGTGCAGGTATTAATGGTCTTTATCTCTCTCAGAGTAAATATTTATATAATTTTCCATAGAATTATTAATATGTTTGATTATGAATTTGTTAATCAAGGCACTATTGGTGCTGTGAAATCATATATAATATGTATGCTATGAAATTTCTCTAAAATCTGGGAGCCTCCAAATGCTAAAAAAGGTCTGGATTTTGATAAGAAGTTTTAACCAGTATTAGCTCTTGACACAATTCTCATGAATGAGAGGCAGAGGGTACTGAAAATAAAGAATGGAGCCCAGGGCTAAGTCTAAAGAGGGATACATGAAGAACAGAACTAGCTTTAGTAGATGCTTGACTACACAGCTGTCAGTGTATTGCATGACTTGAAAGGACCTGGGTAGGGAGCCCTTGATGTGTGTGCTTGTGATCGCAGGCATCATTGAAATATAATTGAGATGTGAAGTCATTTGAATTTTATATTTTGAAAGCAATTGACTGTGATTTTTTAAAATTTAACTAGGTCTAGCTAATGATGAAATTCTCTGTCAAATATCTAAAGTTAAACAACAAAAATATTTTTATATTTTTTGTCATCTCTTTTCTGCATCAAAGTTACTGTTTTTTGCATATTAATCATTTTGTCTTTGTGTTATTTTCTTTAATCTAGGCTTCTGGAGGTTTCTATATAGTGTATATTTGTAAAATACTCTTAAACATATTACTGAGAACAGTAATTTTAGGGATTTTTTTTTTTAATTAAAGCTATTGGGTCTCTCTTTTAACTCCCAGGGACTCGTAGAGAAAAGGAGAAGACAAACAGATTCATGTGAATATTATAACTTGATATGATTATGATCTCTAAGGACACAAAGGAGGATTTGTTTTTTACTGAGCTGATAGTCAAGGACTGGCCATTTAGGAGGCTAGGAATAAACTCTCTTCACAACACCATTTTTCCAGGAATTCTTGTAGAGGATATTGCTTCTGTTATCTCTCCTTTGGGACTTAAGTTGATCAAGTTATTTCCTTATAGAGCACTGGACAGAAAATGGAAAATTGAAAATAATTATATAAGTAGGAAAGAATCAGGCTAGACTAACTGAAGGACTGGAAATAGATATAAAGGGCTTGGACATTTGGTGATTAATAAGTGTTCTCTAAACACAGAAAGGATCTTTTTCAGGTCCGTAGGATGCTATGTTCCCCTGACTACACTCCACAAAGTGCTTATCTCCCATCTTCTTGGACTCCATCAATAACAGGCAGCTCACCAACTCATAGGCAGCCCGATCCAAGAACAGTTCTGACTAATCAGCCTTCCCATATATTAAGATAGATTAACCATCCCTGTAGGTTTCAGGATTTTATCTTACTTCTGTTGTTTGACAACATGCATTAGGCCTTGTCCATGTGATTTATTGTGAAATGTATTTCCCTACACAAGCAGTATAGTATAGTCTTTAAGAACTGTGGCATGAATGGTATACAAACGGGCTCTACCACTTTCTGGCTTTACCGCCTGTAGCAATTTACTTAAATACTCTCGACCTGAACCACAATAACACTAATCTCATGGAACCATGTGAATCCTAAATGAAACAAGGCACATAAAACCCCTCAATTGCATAATGTACATAAAGTACCTGGAACATAGCAATCCATATCTGGGGGTGCTTCATATTATCACATAATCGCACATATTATCACATAATCTTTCTTCATATCAGTTCCTTCTACAATACGAGAAATCCTCTCACAATTGCAAAAACTGCTGCTTCTCAAGCATTTTGCTTATCCCTTACAAAGAAGCTGCCTATAAGAAATTAGGCTGCTAGTTGCTGGCTGATAATTTGATGATCCCAGTTGGAAGGCTGGAGAACAACAAGGGAAGTTATGTATAAGACAAAGTCAGCATGTTTCAAGACATTTGAATATTGGCGTCCAGTTCAGGACCTACATTTCTTTAATTTCACATTTAAGGTTGATGAGGGAGTTTAATTTCCTTAGCTACAAGAACTCTAGACCTGTGGAAAAACATATTAACCATCTATAGATCATTTACCAATCATAACTTGAGAGGGACTGAAAGCAAAACGAAATAAAGGTCTTCAAGCTAACAGCCTGCAGGAATTTGTGATGCTGTTTAGAATAGGCTGCTTAAAGGTTGTCCCCATTGTAGAAGAAAGCATCAACTGTGTATGGAATTTCAGAGTAGATACCATCCCCCTGTTGCCATCAATATGATAGAAAAATATCTTTCTGTCGTTTGTTACATTTCAAGGATCTCCCGGAGAGAATGTCCAAGGTTTCTGGCCAATTAGACGAAAGAAACCAGATTTGGTAAACCAGTGTTGCAAAAAATTTATACCAGTCATATGTGCCACTCGTCCAGCAATTATTAGGTTACAAAGTCCGTTATTGGTTGGGTATTATTTCTCCTATCTGTTCCTAAACACATCTTCAGAGCCAGAGTTGTGAGATTAGGTGGATATGGGTTAGGGAGGAAGAAAAGTCCTGTGACTTCAATTGGGGAGCTGAATCTTCACAATTGGTGAAATAAAAAATTTGTGTTATACAATCAGATTCCCCTCTAGTGAGCTATTTACCCCTAACCTGAATCTCATTTGTATTTATTAATTATATCCTTTATAACATTCCTGGAAAATATTTTATTACTGATTTAGAGGTGAGGAAATTGAGTTCGTTCACAGAGTTTAAGTGATTTGCTGAAAAGTAAAATTAGCTAGGATAGACCTGGATTTCAAATTTAAGTATTCTTACTCTGATTGCTCAACTTAAAAGTTGGGTTTTCCTTTCACTATTATGTATTTGCATTTGTGTTAAAACCCTAGATTGTGTGGGTCTTATGTGAGCATTATTAATAGGTGGTTTATATATGCTCCTCTGGCTTTACAAAGAACATCACTTCTCTACTTCTATTGCTTCCTCTTCTTTTTGTTTTCGTTGTCAAATAACAGAGGTGTATTTTAGATACTCAATCATTATGCCAAGGTATCATATACTAAATCATTTGGCTGGTCTTTGTCCACAGTTCCTGGCAGGGAGCTTCTAAACCTTGGGAATTCCCAGAGTGACAGGAAAGTCTTTGTTATTCACGGTGGGCTACTTGGATGACAGGTGAGTTTATGCTAAGGAGATGATTCCAATGGGACTTGGCCGTGCTAGAAAGACCAACCATGTGATTAGAGGATTGGGGCTTTGTGCCACTTGAAATTAACGCAAATTCCATGGAGGGGAGGAGGGCTGGAGATAAGAGTTCAACCTCAAGGCTAGTGATTCAATCCATCATGTCTACATCATGAACTCCCAATAAAAACTCAGACGCGAAGCTCAGGCAAGGTTCCTGGTTGGTAATACACATGAATGTGCCAGGAGGAAGATACATCCTGGTTCCATGGAGAGTGAACATAGAAGCTTTTCACTGGGGGGCCTCCCATAACTTTCCCTCTCCATCGCTCTTTTTGGCTGGCCTGATTTGTATCCTTTGTTGCTATAATAAAACTGTGATTTTAAGCACAGTACTTTTCTGAGTTTATTAAAGCAAATCGTTGAAGCAGAGCAGATAGTGGGAACCCCTAAATTTGTAGCAATTTGTTCAAAAGTGTGGGTGGCCTAGGAGTCCCCAAGTTTGTAGCTGATGTCTGAAGTGAGGGCAGTCATATGGAGGACTGCTTAACTTGTGAAATCTGGCTTAACTCTGGGTAGTTAGTACCAAAATTGCATTGCACAAGGTAACTGATTTTTCTCTTTCCTCATTTTGAGCCATGATTTTGTGATGGTTTTGAGAATAGCCAGTGTTTAGACATAACCACTAAATAGAAAATATAGCACAGACAAGACATGGCAGTTAGTATGGAAGGGCTGCCCACTCAGCTCAAAATCACTGAGCAGCTTATTGGGGTTTTAACAGCTGTAGCTGCTTTTAAACACATTTGTCAGAAGAAGAAGAGAGAAGCCATGAAATTGTCACAAAAAGAGTTGGCTTAAATAGGAACTGTCGTCACAAACTCTTCTTCCATTGGAGCAAGAGTATGATGCAGCCTGAATCATAATCTAGATTTCACAGGGGAGAAAACAACCATAAAAAATGAATTGAAGACCTCATCTTCATGAGGAAGTTACAGGACCTTGATGATCCCAAGCTTTTTTGTGTTGCTATGTAATAGAATTCCATCCTACAAAACTTTTATGTGTTTCAGAGAAGCCCTGCTATGGGTTTTTAGATACCAGGCATGAAAAACATTTCTTATTGTTTATTTTGCTTATGTGTTTTCTTTTCTAAAAAGTAAATATATTTATTTTATAAAACAATATGCAAAACTTGTCTTGAATTAAAAGCCTCTATAATTGAAATTAGTGGAAAGGGGCATATACATGTATATAGGGAAAAGTTATTCCCTAATAATAGAGACAATACATCATACAATATGACACTGATGATAGAGGGAGAGAGACACAGTTACAGTAGTGATTAACATCATTTTGATCATTCAGCATTTTCTTCTACAGTAGGTAAAATTTTGGTCGGTTTTCTATTCAGGTAAAAGCAGCACACCTAATAGAACAATATTCACATTGGCAGGCCATAGAGAATGACGACAAATACATGGAAGCAGAACCATCCCAGCCATCAGAACTTGAAGCAGACAGCAAGGCTGCCCACTGCCCACTGATTTCAGCCAAGATCAGCTGGTACTCACCTGACTCAAAGATGCTTGAAGTGACTGTTCTCATTCTGTGTTTTGAGAGAGTCTATTGCACAACAATTGCTGATTGGCATAGATCCTGAACACTTAAAAACAGGTTGCTGATTTCAGATTCACTTAACATTTCTGAAATAAAAAATTGTATGTCATCCATTAGTGATTTATTTATTTAATCTCAATTACTAAAGACATATCATGGGTCAAAGAGGTAATCAATGATCAATTATATACTATTCATAAAATAACAAAAATGATAACTTCGTATTTTATTAAAACTGGTCAAAGATATATAGAAAAATATGTAGTTGTAAGTGCTCTTAATAGTAACCAAGAAAGACAGAACAGTTGTTTGTATTTATACATTTATATGTATAAAAGAGCATAATAAGAAGGATTTATATTAAACTTTAGTATGACTTACTGCTATGGAGAGAGGTTAGCTGGAAATGTGGCTGGTGAACACGTGGAAGGAAATTTTCATCATTTGCTGTGCATAATTTGGTAATGTTCAAACTATTTCCAAATATATAATCTTACAGAGTTCGAAAAAAGAAGTCAAATTGGAAGGATGACATCCAAAATGTTAGGGTTGGTTATGTCTAAGTTTTGTAACCATAGCTATATTTCTTGTTATTATGTGTCTTAGTTTGGGTTCTCCTGAATTACAGGCTAAGAAAAAGGACTTGCAATCAGGTAGCTTATTTAAGAGGTGAAATCAGGAGAAGGAGCAAGGGGAGAATGAGACGGAAAAGGCAGAAAAGCCTATAGTGTTGTTGCTGTGGCCAACAGGTACTCTATTCCACTACAAACTCCCAAAAAGTGTTTAGAGCGTCTTCCAGAAAGACTGGAGGTTGGAACATTTATCTACTGCCTCCCATCTTTCTTTGGTTGATGGTTGACTGCAGGGACGTTAACTTGCCTATGCTTCCAGGCCATGGTTACACAAGAGCTGAGTTGGTTCCTGAAACATTTGAGAAGTTCTGGGGCCGAAGTCAAAGATATGCATCAGGATGCTGGAAGGATAATGCTGACAACAGAAGGTGTCTGAGCTTAAGTGGAATGGTCATTTGTAGCTATGACTACAGTCAGTGATGGTTCAAGAGGATGTGATGCAGTATTCCATTATATTATTATTTTTGTTTTATATTTCCAACTTTTTCTTAATGAATATTCTTCATTCTTTATAAGAGGAAATAAAGTTTATTCTAAAAGCATCTTGGTAAAACACATTTTCCTCTCAGTTACAGAAAGAAAGGATTATAAGAAACATTTGTAATACTTACAGTCACAACATTATTCAATTAAATATCTTAATGCAAACTTCAGAACTGCTTCAAATATACACAAATTTCACAAATTGATGGTAGTATTATTAATTGAATACACTGTCAAAAAATGTAGGCTTACAAAGATACAATGTCTAACACTGGGTCATTTAGAAAACCATTACAAAATACAAATGCTAAATCTATAGTGTTAAAAAAATAAGCAAAAATAGATCTATTGTTGTTTGTATTTGATTATTTTAGTCAATGCTTCTTCACTGGCTAGAACTATTTTTATTTTTTTCCATATAGCAACTTCAAAGGGGAATGATCAACCCAGCAACATATATTGTACCTGATCTTAAAGGAGAGCTGCTGGATTCAGTATCTCTTCATGACCTCAGTACTGAACCAATCTCTTAGCTTGGACTCCTTTCAGTTTTCTAAGCCTCCGATAACCACTCTTGATTTGCATTTAAAAAAAATTCTTTCTGATATATTCATGTATTTATTAATTTATTCAACTAAAAGATGTCTATTGAATTCTTGCTGTGTTTCGGGTATTATGCTAAGAGTTGGGGTTAAGTGGTGACCATTATCTTCACAAACCTGTAAATTAGTAAACAAATTTATAAAGTGCCTTTTACATTTGACACTAAGCACTGTTTATCTAGCTGCCACCTGGGCTCTTATTGACTAAGAATTTTTTCCTTCTTCCACATGACTGTTAACTCAGGCTGCACTGAGGAAATGACCCTCCCTATTTGAGACAGTTTTATCCCTGGAATCTTGTATTCACTAGCTGTTGTACTCACTGCTATACATTCACCTAAATAACCCAGAAATATTTACTTTAACAATGAATCATCTTCTTTTGCATAAAATGGATAATGATAAACAATATTTTAAATTCTAGCCAAGAGCTTGTTTCAGGAACATGCCATGTTAATTTTCTCCATGTTTATATAGGCTCCACTCTTTAATTTACTAACCAATGTTGCTTCAAATGCTAGATATGAGCAATGAACTTACATCAAAACCTACTAACTGAGAAGAATCACGCCAGGGTCCTTTTTGCCATATCTCTTTTAGGAAATGCCTTTCCTCCTCTAGGCCTGTCTTAATGGGATGGAGGGGATATTCTCTCCAGATCCCAACTTGTATTTCTAAATACATGCTTATATCTAGTATCTTTCCAATAGCAGAATTTACCCTGGCTGTTCACATTTGGAACCATAGTTCCCCTCTTAAGATCTTCCAGGTTTGTTTATTTCATGCCCTATAACTTCCTTAAATGTTACTCGGTCAGGGAAATTAAGATGAATCTCTTGGGTTCTGCTATTTGCCCTACCTTTTCCTAAACCAGCTGAAACAGACACGAATTGCCTTTAGTGGTTCAGAAACAGGTAAATCTCTTTGTTTGAAATGAAATCTTAACTGCAATAAAGAGTTTTGCTTAAAATGCTGAAAATTTTAATATTTTTCACAAAATAAACCAGCAAGGTGTCAGATTTACCTTACATTCTAATTATTTGTTTAAGAAACATACACACAAGCTTCGATACATTTTAATAGCTGCTGAATTCTGTTTTCCTGGCTTACATATGCTACATATCTGATGCGCAACTGGAATAATATCTTTATTCCCTTAGCTCATTAAGAAAAAGAATATTGTAATTTATAAAGGAAATAAAATAGCACTAAGAATTACCCAAACTGTATAATTTACTGTTTGAAGCCTTATTTTTGACAATGAACTCCCTTGTTTGTCAGCTCTTCTTTTAACATTTAACTTTCCCAGCATTCATTCAGCCAGTCTTTAAGCAAACATTTAAGTATCTACTGCTCTGAGTCATTGATTTAGACCCTGCATTGAAAGGCATGATCCCTACCATCTAAGAGCTTAGAAAATAGAAAGCAAAATGGTATAACAATCAGAAATTGAAATACAATATAATAAGGATGATATCCTATCTGTCATTTATTTACACATTTATTTATTCATTCATCCATTATGTTTTTTATTTGATATTTTAGAACTTACTCTATGTATCATATATTGGAAAGTCTTTACAATCAATTAAATTTACACATATTTGCCAGTCTTTACATATATTTGCCAGCCTTTACAATCAATGGAAAAAAAGCTATTTGGGAGGCCGAGGTGGGCAGATCACCTGAGGTCGGGAGTTCAAGACCAGCCTGACCAACATGGAGCAACCCGGTCTCTACTAAAAATACAAAATTGGCCAGACATGGTGGCAAATGCCTGTAATCCCAGCTACTTGGGAGGCTGAGGCAGGAGAATCCCTTGAACCCGGGAGGCAGAGGTTGTGTTGAGCTGAGATTGTGCCATTGCACTCCAGCCTGGGCAACAAGAGAGAAACTCCATCTCAAAAAAAGAGAGAAAGAACTAACTGTCATAGGAAAAGATAGACACAAAAATAAATATAATGTATGAAATATAATAGAGTTGTGCACAAGGCATTATGGGAGTAAAAAGAAAGGGACACTTATTTTTCTATGGGACAGAGTAAAAAACTTTTCTCTTAGTAATGCCTGAGGAAAGGGAAAGGAAAATAACTTTCAAGAAATGGAGTGCAGCATGAGTAACATCAAAGGTACAGAGAAACAATAAATATGAGAGGAATTACCAACGTTTCAGTTTTTCTAGAATGTTATATGTACAGGAGGGAGGGGCCAATGAGGCCAGAGCTGTAGAGGGTCTGGCTTCTGGAGGGGAGATAGGACACTCTGGAGATCTAACCATTAAATCTGTAAACATGAGGAACTATTGAAAGTTCTTAAGAAGGAAAGTGATGTCAACATATTGTTCTTCTAGAAAAGCTACTTTAGCTGCTATAGAAGGGAGGCAGGAAGAGCTATTCAGGGGCCCTTGCAGAAGTGTAGTTATAATGAGAATTAAACCAAGCTCCAGGGCAATGAGAGATGGGTTGGTTGGAAAACTGTTTAGGAGATCATCTTGTTCATCAGTTGGATGGGGCAAGTTACTGAATCTAAAGAGTTAAGGCTGGATAGATGATGGTGCTGCCAATGCAGATAGAAGCTAAATGAAGAGGGGTCAATTGAAGGTGAAATATTTCAGTCTAGATAGGTTCTGAATCTGAGGTCTCCCTTTCAGCAGGCAGTGAACTATATGAGCTGGTTGTGTTCACATACACTTACAAGACAAATAGTCATGCAGTCCCCACTGATGTAACTTAAATGATTGTTGAAATACTGAAATCCTTTTCTGCTGATTTGCAGCTGTATTCTTCTCCACAGCTCTTCCTCCATATCCCTTCTACAGAAACAAGGTCAGACAGAAGCATGAAACCTGGCAGAAACATGTGATTGTCTTTAGAGTTTCTGCTTGCATACAAGGTGAGGCTGCATCTACCCACATTCCATTGGCCAAGGCAATCTTTCACATGTGTGCATGAATGTAAACAGCAGTGATAATCAAAACATGTAACATCTGGTGTGTGGACACTGACCAGTCAGAACAGATGTACTGGAGTGGGGTCTAGTGAGGTGATGTCCAGTAGAAAAGAGAAAATGCATGAGAAAAGATGATAAGAAAAAAGATAGTAAGTTAGTTTTGGTTATGTATGAAATATGCAAGACCTATAAAATTGAACTGTTGGCTAGTTATGTCATTCTGACCTCTAAGGAGAGTTATTGGTGGAGAGAAAATGGACATTGTATAATTGTCAGGATGTAGATCACCAAGACACAGAATACAGACACATAGGGAAAAGATTGATATATTTGTATAAATAAAAGTATATAAATTATGAATATCAATAATTTAACAATCTTGTAATAAAAACCACACAATATTTGAAAATGCATTATATATGGCTGGCATTTTATTATTTTAATATCTTAAGAACACATAACCTCGTAAAACACCATCAAGCCAATAGAAAATAACAGGTAAATCTAAGTAGTTTATAAGCCTATAGGATGACTGCAACTTTCACTTATAATTACATTAATATGACTTTTTAAATATTTTAAAAATCAAATCAACAAATATAAAAATGTTTCAAATTTTAAAAAAAAATTTTTGAGTTGCTGTTGGAAGTGTTAGAAGTGTTTGTTGGTGTATGTCTCTAAAAAATTGGTGTTTATATCTGTCAAATTGTTAGTGAAAAAAACTCAACAGAATATGCTGTAATTTTTGAAGATGAAAAGTACACAAATATAGATGCTTACAAGCACATGCACATTTTTGACAGAATATTCAAGGAACTTTCTGTTGAGACTGTCTCTGGGAGAAAGACTTGGGGTACTGGTGAAGATAAGAGCGTTCTTTTACACTGGCATAAACATTGTGGTATTTAATGTTTTTATAATTTGCTTTGCTGTTTTTTACCATTTAAAGAAAAAGAAAAACACATTACGTGTCCTAAAGCACGCAGACATTTAGTAAAAAGTTTTTCTTATGAGTATTTATACACGGAAAATAGTCATACAGATTAACGAAAAAGTTAGAAATGTGCCTAAGTCATTAAGCAATTTTCAAAACAACATTTTTAGTTGTTTGTAGGCAAATCACTCAAACATAGAAGAACTTAACTTCTTTAGGGTTTGAAATTTTAAAGGAAACAGTTTGTAGCAAAACTTTTGGATTTTCAGTCATATCTACACTTTGAAAACTGAAAAATAAAATTATTTGTACCTCTATGTTCAGTCTACACTGTGCCCAAACCAACGTCACCTCTGGTGATTCCATGCTTCCCTGTCCATAGACCAAAATGGGATTATGCATAAAGCAAAATAAAAGTTTAATCTCCCCAGATTGTCTGCCAAAACAACTCAAATATTTATTCGTCTCTTTTGAAATATATTTGCACAAAACGTTCATTTTTTCAAGACTCACGTTTTTGTGTGTGAAATTTGGGAAAAAGACAACCATTATATCAGTTGTGAGGCTGCATGTCAATATTGAATTAGGACAGGAAAAATGTGGCCATGTTTACCTTATGTCAGGGATTTGTAGGGAGATAATCTGATAAAGGCTTGGATTTGGGTTTTTGGTCTTTGCTGACTGGAGCAATAAAGGGAAATTCAAACTCTCACACTTCTCCATTTACTCTGCAAAATTCGATACAGCATAAATTCGGCATAAAATGTCCTTTCTCTAGAAGGCATGCTTCTGCTTTATATTAGACATCCTTGTTTCACCAGATAGGTTCTGCTTTGAAAAGGCTGTTTCAAAATCCCTCCAGTGCCCATGTGCCTGTGCTCTAACACTAACTCACTGCAGATTCCCTCAGCCTCTGCAGATGACTGTCAAGAAATAAGCCTAGAGTTACATTACTTTACCATACACTGTATGAGATAAAGCCCAGGAAAATTTGAATAAGTAAATTATTTCAAACAAAATTAAGAGATGGTACTGACAACATTTTCAGAAGCAAAATAATCAACTTTTAGGATTTTAACACCCTTCTGCTTACAGGCAAGTATGGTTAAAAAATACACAAAAAAATTTCTATTTTTTCTTATTCAAAGCAAATTCCCTCAGTTGTCTTTTTAAATGCCACACATGACTCTTCTATAATTTTGTACTTGTAACATACATCTTTAGATCATTTTATTTCTCAGAAAATTTAACTGTATCCTTACAAATGCAGAGGTTTTGAAATAAGTGCCTAGATATAATAAAAATGTTATATCTATTATATTTGTTTTCCAAATAATTATTCTCAATTTTCAGATGAAGAAATTAAAGGAGCAGAGAACCTTGCCTAAAGATGCAAAACTATACAGAGGCAGAAATAAATATTACCTTTGAGTTGCCTGAATGGAAAGCCCACTCTATTTTCAGTGCCCTGCAATTCTCAAAATAGAACTCATAGAAACACAAAACAGAATGGTGGCTAAAGAGGCTGAGGGTGGGATGAATGGGGCGATGATGGGCAAAGGGTACCAAATCTCAATTAGACAGGTGGAATATATTTTTTTAGTTCTATTTTATAATATAGTAGATATAGTTAATAATAGGGCATTGTATATTTCTAAATTGCTAAGAGTAAATTTCAAATGTTTTCACCACAAAAAAGTTAAACAGCTTGATTTAATTATACATTATATTCATAAATCATAATAACACTTTGTTTCCCATAAATTGATACAATTATAAATTGCCAATTTATAATCAAAAATAAATAAAGAATAGAATCTCAATTTTTAATGTCCCACTGTGTCCGGAATTGGTGGGGTCTTGGTCTCACTGACTTCAAGAAAGCCGCGGCCCCTCGTGGTGAGTGTTACAGTTCTCAAAAGTGATGTGTCCGGAGTTTGCTCCTTCTGATGTTCGGACATCTTCGGAGTTTCTTCCTTCTGGTGGGTTCGTGGTCTTGTTGGCTTCAGGAGCAAAGCTACAGACCTACATGATGAGTGTCACAGCTCTTAAGGTGGCGCGTCTGGCGTTATTTCTCCTAGTTGGGTTAGTGGTCTCGCTGGCCTCAAGAGTGAAGCTGCAAACCTTCCCGGTGAGTATTACCGCTCATAAGAGTAGTGCGGACCCAAAGAGTGAGCAGCAGCAAGATTTACTGCAAAGAACAAAAGAACAAAAGAACAAAACCTCCAGACCGTGGAAGGGCACCCCAGCTGGTTGCCACTGCTGGCTTGGGCAGCCTCCTTTTATTCCCTTATCTGGCCCTACCCACATCCTGCTGATCGGTCCGTTTAACAGAGAGCTGATTGGTCTGTTTTACAAAGAGCTGATTGGTCCATTTTGACAGGGTGCTGATTGGTGTGTTTACAATCCCTCAGCTAGACACAAAAGTTCTCCAAGTCCCCACAGATTAGCTAGATACAGAGCGCTGATTGGTGCATTTACAAACCTTGAGCTAGACACAGAGTGCTGATTGGTGCATTCACAAACCTTGAGTTAGACACAGAGTGCTGATTGGTGTATCTACAATCCCTTAGCTAGACATAAAGGTTCTCCAAGTCCCCGCTAGACTCTGGAGCCCAGCTGGCTTCACCTAGTGGATCCTGCACTGGGGCAGCAGGTGGAGCTGCTTGCCAGTCCTCTGCCTTGCACCAGCACTCCTCAGCCCTTCGGCGGTTGATGGGACCAGGCTCCGTGAAGCAGGGGGCGGCGCTCCTTGGGGAGACTCTGGCCGCGCAGGAGCCCAGGGCAGCGGGGGGAGTCTCGGGCATGGCAGGCTGCAGGTCCTGAGCCCTGCCCCGTGGGGAGGCAGCTGAGACCGAGCAAGAATTCGAGCGCAGCGCCCGCAGACCAGCACTGCTGGGGCACCCGGCACACCCTCTGCAGCTGCTGGCCCGGGTGCTAAGCCCCTCACTGCCCGGGGCTGGTGGCACCAGCTGGCCACCCCGAGTGCAGGACCGCTGAGCCCATGCCCACCCAGAACTCACGCTGGCCCGCGAACGTGGTGCACAGCCCCGGTTCCTGCCAGCGCCTGTCCCTCCACACATCCCTGCGAGCAGAGGGAGCTGGCTCCGACCTCGACCAGCCCAGAGAGGGGCTCCCATAGTGCAGTGGCGGGCTGAAGGGCTCCTCAAGCACGGCTAGAGTGGGTGCCGAGGCCGAGGAGGCGCCGAGAGCGAGCAAGGGCTGCCAGCACACTGTCACCTCTCACCACTACCTTTAAAAGGAAGCTTCACAACATTGAGCAAGTACCTTTATCTTTTTAAAGATGCTGTGTAAGTATTTCCCAAAACAGTTCCATTGGGTTCACTGTACGCTATAATGAAATCCTAGAAATTAGTGTCTGGGGTAATTGTGAAATATGTATTTGGTCTTCATTCAGTCTCTTTAAATACAATTCCAAAAATCTTTGGACTTCAGAGTAATTTTTTTGGTATGCTGATGAGTTGACTGGTGGCTGGCAGCCCCTTGCTAGCTTCAGGGTGGGGGCTGGTCACCAGAAAGACCAAGGCATGATGGGAGAGTTGGGACTTTCAACTCCACCTCCCAATCTCAGGGGAGGGGAGAGGGACAAAGGATTAGGTTAATCACCAATGACCAATGATTTCATTAATCATGCCTAAGTGATGAAGATTCCATAAACACCCAAAAAGACAGTGTTCAGAGAGCTTCTAGATAGCCAAATAGGTGAAGGTTCCTAAAAAGTGGCATGGCCTTGGAGAGCATGAAAGCTCTGTGCCCGTTCCCACATGCCTTGCCCGATGCATCTCTTCATATGTATCCTTTGTAATATCCTTTACAATAAACTCATAAGTGTAAACAAATGTTTCCTTGTGTTCTGTGAGTCCAAGACATTAATTAAACCCAAGGAGGGGGTTATGGGAACTCCAATTTATTGCCAGTTGGGCAGAAATGCAGGTAAAACATTGGGGCTTGTGTTTGGTATTGGAAGTGGGGAGCAGTGTTGTGGGAATGAGCCCTCAACTTCTGTGGTCTGAAGCTATCTCCAAATAGATGGTGTTGAAGTTGAATTAGAGGACACCCAGCTGCACAATTGGTTCGTTGGTTATCAGTGGGGTTACAGCCTCACACTTCCTAATGACCAGAGATCACAGAAATCTTCTATGTTGATTGTAGTTGAGTAAGAGAATGGAAAAATCCCTTCGGTTTGGTTTTCCCTACAAAAACAGAGCGACCAAGAAAAGTTTAACAGATCCCCACCCTCTGCCTGCCTTAAGACTACACCGTGCAGCTGGGCTTGTTTACTCAGTGCCCCCATTTTGAACACCATTGTAGCTACAAAGCTACATTCATGGGTGTAAGCTGTGGCCATGAAATTGAAACAGGCTAAATGACCTAAAAGAAATGATTCCCCTTTCCTTAAAGCCCAGTTTCTTAAAAACACTGGTATTGATTGAAATTAATCTATTTTCCTAGCCTGTTGCTATCAGATTGCCAAGAAAGTCTGTGTAATTTTTTTGGCCTGAAAAAAAAAAAAAAAGAAAAGAAAACTGAAGCTATTGTTCTCACGTGAAACTTTAGCTTTGGTGCTGGCCCCAGAAAAATATCTCCTTATTTATTCTTTCTAACACTGAACTCTCAGCACTGTTCCATCTTGGGTGCCATACAGTTGAAAAGGCAGCCTGAATGCAGCAGACAGAGAAATGTTTATGATGAACTAACTATGTGATTAGAAAGTCTTGTTATACATGTGCATGACATAAAAGATGGGCTCAGTTCATTTGCACAATGGTGTTCTGATCACCTCCTGTTCATTGTAATGGTGAAGGAGGAGTCGCATGCCCTAAATAATACAATATAGCCAAATATATGATACCCGACACTGGACAGATGAGACTGGAGCAGTTTTTTGGTCACAGATACTTACAGCTCAGTGGAGGAGCACACTGCATGCCATGCAGGGTACATGGAAGTTATGCTCAGGAGTAGCATGAATCAGAAGGGGCTGTGGGAAGCAGGCTTTGCGGTAGCAAAGGATGGGATACCCTTTGGTTCTCATGGGAGGATGTGATTGGCTTCTTTGAATACCATGGTAGGTAGGTGAAACCTATTAGGTTGCTGAGGAACAATTGAGCACCATATAGGGTGCAGCTGCCCCAGCTGATAAAGGAACTAACTGAGCAGGAAGACTTTCCCACTAGGTTGGGGCATACCTGGTGAGAGGTGGGAAAACACCCAAGCTTTTGGGTCCCTGTGGGGCTCAAACATGTGAAGGCAGCAGTTAAAATTTTAGGTCTCACAATACAAATGGCCATAATAGTTTCCTACTATACAGAGCTGTGAGTAAAATAAATGAAATAAATAGACAAAAAATGCTTAGTAAAATTAAATGTGTTTCAAAAATCCCAGTTTATTCATGTGGACCTTATTGTTAATAGAAAAACTTTTACTTCTTAGATTATACTTATGGTCCCTCATCTATATAATACTAAAATAATAAGGGTATAGATTATACTTTGAATCTTATTTTTGGGGGGGTATTTATGTATAGTGACTATTCTTTACTGGGCCACATTGAAAATGGTTTGTATGGGTTATTCACATGGTATTAGAAAAAGAGAAATGCACCAAGGAAGTCGAGATAGTGATTTCCTACAGTGTTCAAGAGTCCCCACCCTTAGGTTCAATAATTGGCTAGAAGGACTCACAGAACTTAGAAAAGCCATTCTACTCATGGTTACAATGTATTACACTGAAAGGACACAGACTAAAGTCAGCTAAGGGAAGGGATATATCCAGGAGTCACCAGATATAAACTTCCAGTTGTCCTCTTCCTGCGGAGTCCTATGGATGGCCCCTATTGCTTCCAGCAACAACATGTGGAAATATGCATGAAGTATTGCCAATGAGAGATGCTCACCCCAGCTTTGGTGTCCAGAATTGTTACTGGAGCTTAATCAGTTACATATAGGTACCACCCACGTAACCAAGCTTAGCTGCCAGCCCATCCAGTGATTGAACTGATATATGTCCCAAGCCCAACATCCCCCACTTAAATTGCATTATTAGCATTGACTCTATGCATGTCCCAAAGCCCACAAAGACACAAATACACTTTCATTGGACAAGTGATATTCCAAGGGATTTGTGGTTAGTTCCCGGGAGCCAAGGCAAAGGCCATACCTCTTTTTACACAAGGTTAATCCTTTACTGCACATTGGAATTCTTTTTCTAACACTAATTCACCATCTTTGATAACATTGGGCTTGAACTTCCTCATCTACAAAATAAGAGAGTTGAACTAGGTCAGTGGTTTCATTAAGAGTGTTATTTAGGATTGACTGAGGCATTATTGAGGGTGGAAAGATAAGAGGCTACAGAGAGTCTGTCTCAACTAAATAAATTCAAAGCCATGTATAGCAGACATTTACCTTTTTCCTTAACAGGAAGAAAGTGTTCTGATAAAGTTAGGGATTCCCTGGAAATACATGGCTTCTAGTGTTCCTTTCAATTCTAGTGTCAGCAGATAGCATGGTTTTAAGAAAATAGAAACAATTGTCAGATGATTATTTTAAGGTAATGTTATGAAGATACAAATACTTTTCAATTTAAAGCTATCATAGCCACTTCTAATTTCCTCTAGAGTTGCATAAGAGTGTTCATTATAATAATAACGTTCTTTGATTAGTGGTAGTTTATTTACCATGATCTTATTTTAGCTGTCTATAGATACTATCTTGAACCCTGTTATGTAAGCGCTATTTTTCCATTTTTCACATCAGTATTTGGTTTTTAATACATAAGAATGCTTTGGAGTCAAAGTACACTAATCAAATATAAGTATTGAATACTTCTGAAAGAAAATCATTACATCGTAGTTAATTATTAGAAAATATCAAGGCCAGGCACAATGGCTCACACCTGTAATCCCAGCACTTTGGGGGGCCAAGGCAGGTGGATCACCTGAGGCCAGGAGTTCAAGACCAGCCTGGCCAGCATGGCAAAACCCCGTCTCTACTAAAAATACAAAAATTAGCCGGGCATGGAGGCAGGCACCTGTAATCCCAGCCACTTGGGAGGCTGAGGCAGGAGAATCACTTGAACTCAGGAGGCGGAGGTTGTAGTGAGCCGAGATTGCACCACTGCACTCCAGCCTAGGTGACAGAGTGAGACTCCATCTCCAAAAAAAAAAAAAAAAGAAAAAAATAGAAAGAAAAAAAGAAAATATCAAATGAATTTTGAGTGGATACTTTAGCATAGATTAAAGAATCACAAGTCAGTAGGAAATTTAGGTATATCTATCTCAACCCCATTTACCTAACTACTTCAGAGTGGGAGATGGGGCTAGACCCTTTGTCTATTAGCTCTTTAGTTTTTTGGGCTTAATTAAGATAACAGAATCCTTCAGACAACAGAAATGTTGCATTTGGAAATTGAGAAGATTTTAATTGACTTTTCCTAATCAAAATAAAAAGCCATGGTACAAAAATTAAACAAATGACCATTTCCTTGTTCCAAAATTTGAAAGACATCTTGGGTATGCCTAGAGTAGAAGTTAGTTGACTTGGGTGTTAGTTCCAGCTCTGCAGCTCATGAATTTGGTGACTTTGTACTGAATAACCCCTTTGCTCATCAGTTTTTCATATTTCTAATGAGGGGATTAAGATGAGACCCCTGGTTTATGCAGTGCTTGAGGTTGATTGCCCTGTCTTTTACGGTCAAGCTAAGTGTTAGACATTTGCAACCACAAAATCCAGGATACATTTTCTACTTATTTTGTGAGAAATCATTTCACTGCATCTTAAACACTTGTCAGGGATTGCTTCACAGAGGGCGGCCGAGTAGGTTCAAGGTTTGTTAGAACTCTACTTGTATGGTTCAGTATATTTTATTCAGTTTCCCAGTTTTTTGCTTAAGTCGTAAAAATGTATGCTGCCGTATAAAAGGCTCAGCGTTTGTTTTCTAATTCATTTGACCTTTTAAGAACAACAAGTACACTCCCAGTTTTACCACTTCTATTAAATAACCAGCTACAAAGGGCATGCATTTGCTACTGCTGCCAATGATGATTGAGAAACTATGGTATATGAGCTGGTTCCAAGGCTATGCAGTGTTACTGTGTATATAATGCAGGCTATGACCTTTCATGCCATGTTCAGGTTGTGTCAGTCCTATTTTGTTCCATAGCAGGCAGGCTGGAAGCATGGGGGTGAGAACAGGCAATGTCTACGGGGTAACCTGATCAACTGGTGTTCCTAGGGAAATATACATACACTATGTCACTATAAAATGGGTCATCTCACTGTAATGAGATAATATTCTTTGCAACAGTCACCCCTGAGCTGTTCGTCAATCTTATTTATAAGCAGGTTTGACTGTACATATGGATCAAATCCCTAAGTTTGAATCTAGAAAGTATATCACCCATTCCATCCCCTCTGCAATAAATACAGTTTAAGACAGATGAATGTAAACAAACAAACAAAAAAACAAAACGACATCAGGCTTAACTGAGAATGCTTCTTTGAAAACAAAATAGTTACAGTAGTCCCCTCCTTTCCCTGGGGGGGATATGTCCCAAGACCCCTAGTGGATGCTTGCAACCAGAAATAATACTGAATCCTAAACCCTATATAAACTATGTTTTTTCTATATATACATACCTATGACAAAGTTTAATTTATAAACTGGCTCAGTAAGAGATAACAATTAATAATAAAATAGAACACTTATAACAATATATTGTTCACAATTTCATAGATAGAAGATTCATTATTACTATAGAGCTTAGTGACCTTAGCATATGGTCTTTTATTCTTTGCTTATTAAGTCAAGAACTTTCACCTTTCAACTTAAAGGAAGTACATTATAGCTTCTTTTTTGGCATAGCTGAGCTGCCAGCATCACTACTATTATACTTTGGGGCCACTATTAAGTAAAATAAGAGTTACTTGACCACAAGTATTGGGCTATCTGAACAGTCATTCTGGTAACCAAAAGGGCTAGTAAGTGACAAAGGGCAGGTGGTGTAGACAGCATGAAGTCACTGGACAAATAGTGACTCTACAAAGTAGACAGCATGTGATTTTGTCACAATACTCAGAATGGTGTGCAACTTATGAGTTGTTTATTTCAGGAAATTTCCATTTAATTAATTTCTACTTAATATTTTCAGACAGTAGTTGACCATGGGTAAGTGAAACTACAGACAGCAAAGCCCAGATAAAGGTGGACTACTGTTGAGTCATTCTGAATACATTAGCTAATAAACAATAAAATCACGATTCTGTGTGAAAAGCTGAAATTGGAAACCAATATTTTAATTTTCAAGTGTTATTCCACATTAGCAGAAGTTCTGTATGTTCTTATCACTGTATGATAAAAGCTTAGATTTAAGCTAAAATCACCACAGTAATTAAAATGCATGGTACATTTTGGGTTCATTTTGAATGAGTGAGATTTTCAACTAACCTGAAGCAAAACAAATCAATTAGGAAGCCATCTGGGCAAATTAAATCTCAGGAAATAGAAAATAAACATGTGAACCCTTAACACTGCCACGGCTTCTGATGGTTCTCAGAACGATCTACTGTCAGAGTTAGTAGATCTTTTACATAGATGAGTACTTCTCAACCCTGGATGAGTCTTATAACTCACCTGTACAAATTAGAATAAATACGAATGCCTAAACCCCTCCACAGATATTTTGATTTAATTGATATGTCATGGGGTCCAGGCACTGATATATTTAAAGTTCTTTAGGTGGTTTTATAAATTTCCATTTTCCCCATTATGCAGTAAGTAACAAATTACGTCTTCCATTTCCCTTGAATGTGGAAATTATGTTTACGAGTTCATTTACATGTTGTACATGGGCTACTAGAATACATTGATAAAATAACATGAAATATTTTCTTAATGTCTGTCTGTTATCAAAATGTTAACATTCTCAAGTATCCTCATGTACTAATAATGGGTGCATTCTTCCTTGGATTTTTCTCCTTAAAAATCTTATCTCAAAATCTACAAAATCAGAGAGAAGCATAAAAGAATTTTCACCAGTTAGATGCTTTTAGTGCTATGTTATAAAGTGATTAAATTTTTATAATAAGATTTGGGGCTTAGGACTCGAGCAGGACCTACTCTAATGAGCAGAAAGTGGGGGTTCAGTTGCCTGATAGTGGATCTAGGGTTGATGAAACATGGCAGGGAGTCATTAGGGACAGTAAATAAATTAGTGAATGGCTAAATGAATATTGGGCTTGAGATTTGATCAGAGGGGAAAACTTTGCTTAAGAAAGTTTGTATGTAGGATGTTTTTGGCGAGGACAAGGCTGAAATAGAGCTATGCCTCCACAGAGGTGTGGACTGATGGAATTGAAGACTTTTGTTGAGGAGACCCAGGAACTGTGAGATTGACAGTTAGCAGGGACACCCCCTTAATGACGTGGGTCACTTGGAAAAATAGCAGAGATCAAATGGGCTGGAAAGTAAGGGTGGGAGGCAGGTGCTAAAGTCCTTGAGGGACGTGAAGTAGTGTCCCAGGTGGTAGAACAGGGAAGTATAGAGAGAGTTGTGAGGAACATGGCGTGGGCTTTCAAAAGAGATGCCATTGAGCAGTGGCCTAAGGAGCCGCATTGCAGAGACAGAGAAGGACCCTTAAGCATCATGATGTAGTACATATGAAAAACAATCTGTAAACTAAAACACAAAGCATGGGTATTCTATAGACATTTGCTAAGGAGCCCATATTTGAGCTAATGTGAGCGAAATAAGTTTATTTCTTTATACACTGATACCAATGATTCTTTAAATAAGAATGACAGATAGTAAACTATTTTAATTAGGGAGCTTAGAGAAATATTATTTAGAAAACAGTGTACTTTTCCCTGATATATGGCATGGACAGGGAAAATCCACCTTTAATGTGAATATGGAGTGACATTTCTCATAAACTAGAAGTAGGAGTCTACGGATAAGTTCCAAGCGTGAGGCTGCAAGCCTTGAATGAATCATGTGATGGTGTACTGGGAAGAAAAAACAAAGAATGTGAGAGAGATACTGTTCAAATAGCCAAGAACAAGGCTGGCTAGATTTCATTCCTCTTTAGAAAAATTAGCTTTCGTTTTCAAACAGTGATTTGAGACTGTTCAATTTCTTTCCAAAATTGTTACTGAGCCTATATTATAAAAATCTAAGACGTTTGTTTTACTTATTCTCCTTTTTCTTTGTCCTTTTTTTTTCCTGTGTGCATGCTTGCTTGCACATATTCATTTCAGTAGAGAGTAGTCACGAATAATTGGCCAATATCCTAACCCCTAGTGGCTACCTGAAAAAGTAATGCACTTGGTTTTCTTTCAAAGAACAATGATTCTTAGGTCATGGAGACTTTTTGATGCTGTCCAGAAGTTTGACTGGACCAAGAGACACAGCAGATTTGATCCTCAGGGCATCTCACCTCCCACTACCTACCTTACTCATAAGAGCTGCCAGTTATATTCAAAGGCATGCTGGATTTGACAAATTTGTCTCTCCCACCCTCACACTTTAGCCAAATCAAACCTTTCTCTGCTCCTAAGCACTAATATGTTAGTGTTGGGCTTACTGTGCATCAGGTAACCTAAATGTGGGGTCTTCACACACACACACAAAGAAATATTAAAATAAACAAACTCTATCAACCTGTAAAATATAGAAGCTTGCATCTATGAGTCAGGAACTTGGCAGATTTCCTACAAAATATGTTGCTGGTGAGACTGGATAGTAAGAAACAGAAATAAAGTCTCTATATTTAGTGACAGCAAAGAGAGTTCCACTATGGTTATGCAGGAATGGAATGCACACAATAATATCTTAAATTCTCTATCTTAGCTCATCTTAGTCCTTTGACGAGGAGGTGGCAACAAAAAGCTGGAATCGAGAGTAAATTATGGGGCCGGGTGCGGTGGCTGAAGCCTGTAATGCCAGCTCTTTGCAAGGCCAAAGCAGGTGGATCACTTGAGGTCAGGAGTTCATGACCAGCCTGGCCAACATGGTGAAACTCCGCCTCTACTAAAATTACAAAAAATTAGCCAGGCATGGTGGCACGTGTCTGTAATCCCAGCTACTTGGGAGGCTGAGGCAGGAGAATTGCTTGAACCCAGGAATCAGAGGTTGCAAAGAGCCGAGATCATGCCACTGCACTCCAGCCTGGGCAACAGAGGGAGACTTTGTCTCAAAAAAAAAAAAAAAAAAAAAAAAAAAAAAAAAAAAAAGTAAATCATGGAATGATTGGCGAAGGGGAAAGCTTAACCTTAAAAAGGTTAAGATATACAAAGAAATATGTTAGGTGTTGGCGCTCAATTTTTTTGGCTCCTTAACTCCCTTTCAAGCTTTTATTGGAGTCAATGCACGCCAGGCAAGGCAGGAATATTGACAATGTAGAACCTTAATAATGATAGTCATATCAGTTAGAATCCATATCGTTTATTCAAAATGTATGTGAATAGCCTAATTTTGATGAGAGGACTGTGCCCTTGCCACTTCTTATAGTCACCTCCAGGTAAACTTTCCTGTATCTGAAATCTAGACCACATGTCCATTCCTCTGTGCTACAACTGAAAGGAAGAATATGAACTGAACGAATGCCCTTGATTTCCTGTAATCCCTCTTACTATAGGCTGTTGCTAGTAGTTGCTTTTAATGAAGCTTCAGTGGAATGGAAAGGAATAAGATGACAGAAAAATACCATGGAACAATGTTTAAGATTAAATACTTGACACCAATGCTTTTAAATATTAATGGGCTGGGCCAGGTGTGGTGGCTCACGCCTGTAATCCCAGCACTTTGGGAGGCTGAGGTGGGCAGATCGCCTGAGGCCAAAAGTTCGAGAGCAGCCTGACCAACATGGTGAAACCCTGTCACTACTAAAAAAATATAAAAATTAGCTGGATGTGGCAGCATGTGCCTGAAATCCCAGCTACTTGGGAGGCTGAGGCAGGAGAATCACTTGAACCTGGGAGGTGGAGGTTGCAATGAGCTGAGACCACACCACTACACTCCAGCCTGGGTGACAGAGTGAGACTCTAGAGTGAGACTCTGTCTCAAAAACATTTTTTAAATAAGTAAATAAATAAATATTCATGGACTGTTCTGAATTGTACAGGGGCTGATATTTCTCAGGTCGCCTCTTTATGCTGCTTGTCCCTTTTTCCTTCCCTTCCAGCTCACTTGCCTCACTTCCCTTCCCTACTTTCCCACACTGAAAATGTCCCTGTAACTTTTTAGCTAAACAGTTTAAATATTTATTTGTTTTGATACTCCATCTAAACTCTATGGACTTCACTTTTCACATGCACAGCTCAATTTCAAAGGATTTTGTTAATATAACCAGCTGTCACCTCTAGAGATAATTCCCTTAGGAGCAGAAGCAACTGCAATCACCTGTGGTTTAAAAGAGCAGATTTTAAAGACATCTGCTACACACAGAAAAAGTAACTCATAAACTGTTATTCAACAAATTGCATCCAAATTTAAGTCCTTTTCAATAATTAATAGGCTTACTAGAGCCTCTATCATAATAAAGTCTCTAGACATTATGACATTCTCCTCATCGCTATGATTTACATTTAAATCTTTGAAGCATAACCTATAAAATCTGTGACAAAGTCCATTTCAAATCAGGAGAATATGTAGATTTTATTCTATGAAGAACAATGAAAAATCTTTACTTAATAGACTTAACCCATGAGAATGAGGGAAAAAACGCACTCTCAATTACATTTGAGAAGACATATTGTCTAAGAAATGAGGGAGACGGGGAGTCTAGGCATCTGGTCAAAGTTGTACTTGTTGGCAAAATCATATCTTGACTTCCTTTGTATTATTAAATGAAAAATGTGAAAGTAAATGAACTAAACATGTAATTGAGGAAGTCATAAAAAGGCAGATTAAAAATATACTTGAGGTAAGAAGATGAAAGTAATTACTACAGGTAAAAACATAAATTTAAAAGACAAATGGAGTTTAACTAAATATATTTAAAATAGAATTCTTTAAAATGATAAAATACGAGGGGGAGGAGCCAAGATGGACGAATAGGAACAGCTCCAGTCTACAGCTCCCAGCGTGAGCGACGCAGAAGACGGGTGATTTCTGCATTTCCATCTGAGGTACCGGGTTCATCTCACTAGGGAGTGCCAGACAATGGGCGCAGGTCAGTGGGTGTGCGCACCGTGCGCGAGCCGAAGCAGGGCGAGGCATTGCCTCACTTGGGAAGCGCAAGGGGTCAGGGGGTTCCCTTTCCGAGTCAAAGAAAGGGGTGATGGACGGCACCTGGAAAATCGGGTCACTCCCATCCGAATACTGCGCATTTCCGACGGGCTTAAAAAACGGCGCACCACGAGATTCTATCCCACACCTGGCTTGGAGGGTCCTATGCCCACGGAATCTCGCTGATTGCTAGCACAGCAGTCTGAGATCAAACTGCAAGGCGGCAGCGAGGCTGGGGGAGGGGCGCCCACCATTGCCCAGGCTTTCTTAGGTAAACAAAGCAGCTGGGAAGCTCAAACTGGGCGGAGCCCACCACAGCTCAAGGAGGCCTGCCTGCCTCTGTAGGCTCCACCTCTGGGGGCAGGGCACAGACAAACAAAAAGACAGCAGTAACCTCTGCAGACTTAAATGTCCCTGTCTGACAGCTTTGAAGAGAGCAGTGGTTCTCCCAGCACACAGCTGGAGATCTGAGAATGGGCAGACTGCCTCCTCAAGTGGGTCCCTGACCCCTGACACCTGAGCAGCCTAACTGGGAGGCACCCCCCAGCAGGGGCACACTGACACCTCACACGGCAGGGTATTCCAACAGACCTGCAGCTGAGGGTCCCGTCTGTCAGAAGGAAAACTAACAAAAAGAAAGGACATCCACACCAAAAACCCATCTGTACATCACCATCATCAAAGACCAAAAGTAGATAAAACCACAAAGATGGGGAAAAAACAACAGAAAAACTGGAAACTCTAAAAAGCAGAGCGCCTCTCCTCCTCCAAAGGAACGCAGTTCCTCACCAGCAACGGAACAAAGCTGGATGGAGAATGACTTTGACAAGCTGAGAGAAGAAGGCTTCAGACGATCAAATTACTCTGAGCTACGGGAGGACATTCAAACCAAAGGCAAAGAAGTTGAAAACTTTGAAAAAAATTTAGAAGAATGTATAACTAGAATAACCAATACAGAGAAGTGCTTAAAGGAGCTGATAGAGCTGAAAACCAAGGCTCGAGAACTACATGAAGAATGCAGAAGCCTCAGGAGCCGATGCGATCAACTGCAAGAAAGGGTATCAGCAATGGAAGATGAAATGAATGAAGTGAAGTGAGAAGGGAAGTTTAGAGAAAAAAGAATAAAAAGAAATGAGCAAAGCCTCCAAGAAATATGGGACTATGTGAAAAGACCAAATCTACGTCTGATTGGTGTACCTGAAAGTGATGGGGAGAATGGAACCAAGTTGGAAAAAACTCTGCAGGATATTATCCAGGAGAACTTCCCCAATCCAGCAAGGCAGGCCAACGTTCAGATTCAGGAAATATGGAGAACGCCACAAAGATACTCCTCAAGAAGAGCAACTCCAAGACACATAATTGTCAGATTCACCAAAGTTGAAATGAAGGAAAAAATGTTAAGGGCAGCCAGAGAGAAAGGTCGGGTTACCCTCAAAGGGAAGCCCATCAGACTAACAGCGGATCTCTCAGCAGAAACCCTACAAGCCAGAAGAGAGTGGGGGCCAATATTCAACATACTTAAAGAAAAGAATTTTCAACCCAGAATTTCATATCCAAACAAACTAAGCTTCATAAGTGAAGGAGAAATAAAATCCTTTACAGACAAGCAAATGCTGAGAGATTTTGTCACCACCAGGCCTGCCCTAAAAGAGCTCCTGAAGGAAGTGCTAAACATGGAAAGGAACAACTGGTACCAGCCACTGCAAAATCATGCCAAAATGCAAAGACCATCAAGACTAGGAAGAAACTGCATCAACTAATAAGCAAAATAACCAGCTAACATCATAATGACAGGATCAAATTCACACATAACAATGTTAACTTTACATGTAAATGGACTAAATGCTCCAATTAAAAGACACAGACTGGCAAATTGGATAAAGAGTCAAGACCCATCAGTGTGCTGTATTCAGGAAACACATCTTACGTGCAGAGACACACGTAAGCTCAAAATAAAAGGATGGAGGAAGATCTACCAAGCAAATGGAAAACAAAAAAAGGCAGGGGTTGCAATCCTAGTCTCGGATAAAACAGACTTTAAACCAGCAAAGATCAAAAGAGACAAAGAAGGCCATTACATAATGGTAAAGGGATCAATTCAACAAGAAGAGCTAACTATCCTAAATATATATGCACCCAATACAGGAGCACCAAGATTCATAAAGCAAGTCCTGAGTGACCTACAAAGAGACTTAGACTCCCACACATTAATAATGGGAGACTTTAACACCCCACTGTCAACATTAGACAGATCAACGAGACAGAAAGTCAACAAGGATACCCAGGAATTGAACTCAGCTCTGCACCAAGCGGACCTAATAGACATCTACAGAACTCTCCACCCCAAATCAACAGAATAGACATTTTTTTCAGCACCACACCACACCTATTCCAAAATTGACCACATATTTGGAAGTAAAGCTCTCCTCAGCAAATGTAAAAGAACAGAAATTATAACAAACTATCTCTCAGACCACAGTGCAATAAAACTAGAACTCAGGATTAAGAATCTCACTCAAAACCGCTCAACTACATGGAAACTGAACAACCTGCTCCTGAATGACTACTGGGTACATAACGAAATGAAGGCAGAAATAAAGATGTTCTTTGAAACCAATGAGAACAAAGACACAACATACCAGAATCTCTGGGACACATTTAAAGCAGTGTGTAGAGGGAAATTTATAGCACTAAATGCCCACAAGAGAAAGCAGGAAAGATCCAAAATTGACACCCTAATATCACAATTAAAAGAACTAGAAAAGCAAGAGCAAACACATTCAAAAGCTAGCAGAAGGCAAGAAATAACTAAGATCAGAGCAGAACTGAAGGAAATAGAGACACAAAAAACCCTTCAAAAAATTAATGAATCCAGGAGCTGGTTTTTTGAAAGGATCAACAAAATTGATAGACCGCTAGCAAGACTAATAAAGAAAAAAAGAGAGAAGAATCTAATAGACGCAATAAAAAATGATAAAGGGGATATCACCACCGATTCCACAGAAATACAAACTAAAATCAGAGAATACTACAAACACCTCTACGCAAATAAACTAGAAAATCTAGAAGAAATGGATAAATTCCTTGACACATACACTCTCCCAAGACTAAACCAGGAAGAAGTTGAATCTCTTAATAGACCAATAACAAGATCTGAAATTGTGGCAATAATCAATAGCTTACCAACCAAAAAGAGTCCAGGACCAGATGGATTCACAGCTGAATTCTACCAGAGGTACAAGGAGGAACTGGTACCATTCCTTCTGAAACTATTCCAATCAACAGAAAAAGAGGGAATCCTCCCTAACTCATTTTATGAGTCCAGCATCTTTCTGATACCAAAGCCAGGCAGAGACACAACAAGAAAAGAGAATTTTAGACCAATATCCTTGATGAACATTGATGCAAAAATCCTCAATAAAATACTGGCAAAACGAATCCAGCAGCACATCAAAAAGCTTATCCACCATGATCAAGTGGGCTTCATCCCTGGGATGCAAGGCTGGTTCAATATACGCAAATCAATAAATGTAATCCAGCATATAAACAGAGCCAAAGACAAAAACCACATGATTATCTCAATAGATGCAGAAAAAGCCTTTGACAAAATTCAACAACCCTTCATGCTAAAAACTCTCAATAAATTAGGTATTGATGGGACATATTTCAAAATAATAAGAGCTATCTATGACAAACCCACAGCCAATATCATACTGAATGGGCAAAAAGTGGAAGCATTCCCTTTGAAAACTGCCACAAGACAGGGATGCCCTCTCTCACCACTCCTATTCAACATAGTGTTGGAAGTTCTGGCCAGGGCAATTAGGTAGGAGAAGGAAATAAAGGGTATTCAATTAGGAAAAGAGGAAGTCAAATTGTTCCTGTTTGCAGATGACATGATTGTATATCTAGAAAACCCCATCGTCTCAGCCCAAAATCTCCTTAAGCTGATAAGCAACTTCAGCAAAGTCTCAGGATACAAAATCAATGTACAAAAATCACAAGCATTCTTATACACCAATAACAGACAAACAGAGAGCCAAATCATGAGTGAACTTCCATTCACAATGCTTCAAGGAGAATAAAATACCTAGGAATCCAACTTACAAGGGATGTGAAGGACCTCTTCAAGGAGAACTACAAACCACTGCTCAAGGAAATAAAAGAGGATACAAACAAATGGAAGAACATTCCATGCTCATGGGTAGGAAGAATCAATATCGTGAAAATGGCCATACTGCCCAAGGTAATTTACAGATTCAATGCCATACCCATCAAGCTACCAATGCCTTTCTTCACATAATTGGAAAAAACTACTGTAAAGTTCATATGGAACCAAAAAAGAGCCTGCATCACCAGGTCAATCCTAAGCCAAAAGAACAAAGCTGGAGGCATCACACTACCTGACTTCAAACTATACTACAAGGCTACAGTAACCAAAACAGCATGGTACTGGTACCAAAACAGACATATAGATCCATGGAACAGAACAGAGCCCTCAGAAATAATGCCGCATATCTACAACTATCTGATCTTTGACAAACCTGAGAAAAACAAGCAATGGGGAAAGGATTCCCTATTTAATAAATGGTGCTGGGAAAACTGGCTAGCCATATGTAGAAAGCTGAAACTGGATCCCTTCCTTACACCTTATACAAAAATAATCAATCAGAAAGCAACAACAACACCATCAACAACGACAACAAAAAAAGCCCACACAAAAACACCATCCAAGGGTCAGCTGCCTCAAAGACCAAAATTAGACAAACTCATGAAGATGAGAAAGAATCAATGAAAATATGCTGAAACTCAAAAGGCAAGAGTGCCTCTTCTCCTCCAAATGATTGCAATGTCTTTCCATCAAGGGCACAGAACTGAACAGAGGATCAGATGGATGAATTGACAGAAGTAGGCTTCAGAAGATGGGTAATAAAAAATGACACTGAGCTAAAGGAGCATGTTCTAACCCAATGCAAAGAAGCTAAGAACCTTGATAAAACGTTAGAGGAATTAATAACTAGAATACCCAGTTTAGAGAGGAACATAAACAACCTGATGGAGCTGAAAAACACAGGACAAGGACTTTGTGAAGCATACACAAGTATAAATAGCTGAATCAACCATGGGGAAGAAAGGATAGCAGAGTTTGAAGATCACCTTGCTGAAATAAGGGATGCAGACAAGACTAGAGAAAAAAAATAAAAAGGAATGAACAAAGCCTCCAAAAAATATGCACTTCATAAAAAGAACCTATAATTGATTGGAGTACCAGAAGGAGATGGGGAGAATGGAAGCAAGCTAGAAAATACTATTATCCAGGAGAACTTCCCCAACCTAGCAAGACAGGCGAACATGCAAATTCAGCAAATACAGAGAACACCACTAAGATATTCCACAAGAAGATCAACCCTAAGACACATAATCATCAGATACTTCAAGGTCAAAATAAAGGAAAAACTGTTAAGGGCAGCCAGAAAGAAAGGCCAGATCACCTACAAACAGAAACCCATCAGACTAACAGCAGACCTCTCAGCAGAAACTCTACAAGCCAGAAGACATTGGGGGCCAATATTCAACATTCTTAAAGAATTCAACATTCTTAAATTCTTAAAGAATTTTCAACTCAGAATTTCATATCCAGCTAAACTAAGATTCATAAGTGAAGGAGAAATAAAATCCTTTCCAGACGAGCAAAGAATGAGGGATTTTGTTACCACCAGGCCTGCCCTGCAAGAGCTCCTGAAAGAAGCACTAAATATGGAAAGGAAAAACTGGTACCAGCCACTGCAAAAACACACCAAAATATAAAGACCAATGACACTATGAAGAAACTGCATCAATTAGTGTGCAAAATAACCAAATAGCCTCATGATGACAGGATCAAATTCACACATAACAATACTAACCTTAAATGTAAATGGGCTAAAAGCCCCAATTAAAAGACACAAACTGGCAAACTGGATAAGAATTCAAGACCCATTGGTGTGCTGTATTCAGGAGACCAATCTCACATGCAAAGACACACAGAGGCTCAAAATAAAGAAATGGAGGAAAATTTACCAAGCAAATGGAAAGCAAAAAAAAAAAAAAAAAAAAGGAAAAGAATAAAAAAGCAGGGGTTGCAATCCTAGTCTCTGACAAAACAGGCTTTAAACCACAAAAATCACAACAGATGAAAAAGGGCATTACATAATGGTAAAATGAACAATTCAACAAAAAGAGCAAACTATTCTAAATATATATGCAGCCAATGCAGGAGCACCCAGATTTATAGAACAAGTTCTTAGAGACCTGCAAAGAGACTTCTTGAACTCAGCTCTGGATCAAGTGCACCTAGCAGAAATCTACAGAACTCTCTACCCAAATCAACAGAATATACCTTCTCAGTACCACATGGCAATTATTCTAAAATTGACCACATAATTGGGAGTAAAACACTCCTCAGCAAATGCAAAAGAACTGAAATAATAATAAACAGTCTCTCAGATCACAGTGCAATCAAATGAGAACTCAGGATTAAGAAACTCACTCAAAACCACACAATTTCATGGAAATTGAACAACCTGCTCCTGAATGACTCCCGGGTAAATAATGAAATTTAGCAGAGATCAAGAAGCTCTTTGAAACCACTGAGAATGAAGAGACAACATACCAGAATATCTGGGACACAGCTAAAGCAGTATTAAGAGGGAAATATATAGTACTAAATGCCCATGTCAGAAAGCTAGAAAGATCTCAAATTGACACCCTAATATCACAATTAAAAGAGCCAGCGAGGCAAGAGCAAATTAATCTAAAAGCTAAAAGAAGGCAAAAAATAACTAAGATCAGAGAAGAATTGAAGGATATGGAGACATAAAAAAAACCTCCAAAAAACCAATGAGTCCAGGAGCTGGTTTTTTGAAAAAATTAACAAAATAGATAAACCACTAGCTAGACTAATAAAGAAGAAAAGAGAGAAGAATCAAATAGGCACAATAAAAAAAAGATAAAGAGGATATCACCACTGACCCCACAGAAATACAAATTACCATCAGAGAATACTGTAAACACCTCTATGCAAATAAACTAGAACATCTAGAAGAAATGGATAAATTCCTGGACACACACACTCTCCCAAGAATAAACCAGGAAGAAGTCGAATCCCTGAATACACCAATAACAAGTTCTGAAATTGAGGCACTAATTAATAGCCTACAAACCGAAAAAAGCCCTGGACCAGATGGATTCACAGCTGAATTCCACCAGAAATAAAAACAGGAAGTGGTACCATTCCTTCTGAAACTATTCCAAACAGTTGAAAAGGAGGGACTCCTCACTGACTAATTTTATGAACCCAGCATTATCCTGATACCAAAACCAGGATAAGACACAACAAACATAGAAAACTTCAGGCCAATATATGTGATGAACAGCAAGGTGAAAAACCTCAATAATATACTGGCAAACCGAATCCAGCAGCACATCAAAAACCTTATCCACCACGATCAAGTTGCCTTCATCCCTGGGATGCAAGGCTCGTTCGAGATACGCAAACCAATAAACATAACCCATCACATAAACAGAACCAAAGACAAAAACCACAGGATTATCTCAATAGATGCAGAAAAGGTCTTTGATAAAATTCAACATCTTTTCATGTTAAAAACTCTCAATAAGCTAGGTATTGATGGAACATATCTCAAAATAATAAGAGCTATTTATGACAAACCCGCAGCCAATATCATATTGAATGGGCAAAAGCTGGAAGCATTCCCTTTGAAAACTGGTACAAGACAAGGATGCCCTCTCTCACCACTCCTATTCAACATAGTATTGTAAGTTCTGGCCAGGGCAATCAGGCAAGAGAAAGAAATAAAGCGTATTCAAATAGGAAGAGAAGAAGTCATGTTGTCTCTGTTTGCAGATGACATGATTCTATATTTAGAAAACTCCATAATCTCAGCCCAAAAACTTCTTGAACTGATAAGCACCTTCAGCAAAGTCTCAGGATACAAAAATCAGTGTGCATAAATCACAAACATTCCTTTACACCAAGAATAGGCAAGCAGAGAGCCAAATCATGAATGAACTCCCATTCAAAATCACTACAAAGTGAATGAAATACCTAGGAATAGAGCTAACAAGGAATGTGAAGGACCTCTTCCAGGAGAACTACAAACCACTGCTCAAGGAAATAAAATAGGACAGAAACGAAAAGAAAAACATTCTATCCTGATGGATAGGAAGAATCAATATCATGAAAATAGCCATACTGCTCAAAGTAATTTATAGATTCAATACTATTCCCATCAAACTACCATTGACATTCTTCACAGAATTAGAAAACACTATTTTAAATTTCATATGGAATCAAAGAAGACTCTGTACAGCCAAAACAATCCTAAGCAAAAAGAACAAAGCTGGAGGCTTCATGCTACTTGACTTCAAACTGTAATACAAGGCTACAGTACCCAAAGCAGCATGATACTGGTACCAAAACAGACATATAGACCAATGGAGCAGAACAGAGACCTCAGAATTAACACCACACATCTACACCCATCTGATCTTCAACAAACCTTTCAAAAACAAACAATGGGGAAAGGATCTCCTATTCAATAAATGGTGGGAAAAGTGGCTAGCCATATGCAGAAAAGTGAAACTGAACCCTTTCCTTACACCTTATACAAAAATTAACTCAAGATGAATTAAAGACTTAAGTGTAATACCTAAAACCCTGGAAGAAAACCTAGGCAATACCATTCAGGACATAGGCATGGGCAAAGACTTCATGACAAAAACGCCAGAAACATTCGCAACAAAACACAAAATTGACAAATAGAATTTAATTGAACTAACGAGCTTCTGCAGAGCAAATGAAACTATCATCAGAGTGAACAGGCAACCCACAGAATGGGAGGTTTTTGCAATTTATTCATCTGACAAAGGTCTAATATTCAGAATTTACAAGGAACTTAAACAAATTTATAAGAAAAAAACAACTCCATCAAAAAGTGAGCAAAGGATATGAACAGACACATCTCAAAAGAAGACATTTACATGGCCAGCAAACATACACAAAAAAGCTCAACATCCTTGATCATCAGGGAAATGCAAATCAAAACCACGAGGAGCTACCATCTCACACCAATCTGAGGGCAATTATTAAAAAGTCTGGAAACAATAGATGCTGGCGAGGCTGTGGAGAAATAGGAATGCTTTTACACTGTTAGTGGGAATGTAAATTAGTTCAACCATTGTGGAAGACAGTATGGCAATTCCTCAAGGAACTAGAACCAGAAATACAATTTGACCCAGCAATCCCATTACTGGATATGTACCAAAGGAATATAAACCATTCTACTATAAAGACACATGCACACGTATGTTTATTGCAGCACTATTTTCAATAGCAAAGATATGGAACCAACCCAAATGCCCACCAATGATAGACTGGATGAAGAAATGTGGTACATATACACTTTGAAATACTATGCAGCCATAAAATGGAAGGAGATCATGCCCTTTGCATAAACATGGATGAATCTGGAAGCCATCATCCTCAGCAAACTAACACAGGAACATAAAACCATACACTGCATCTTCTCACTCATAAGAGGGAGTTGAAAAATGAGAACACATGGACATAGAGAGGGGAACAACACACCCCAGGGTCTGTTGTGGAGTGGGGGGTGAGGGGAGGGAAATTAGCAGATGGGTCAATAGGTGCAGCCTATCACCATGGCACATGTCTACCTATGTAACAAACTTGCACGTTCTGCACATGTAACCCTTCTTTTTTAGAAGAAATAGAGAAAAAAGAAAACTACTAAAAAACATTTAGACTACCTACTACTTACATTATTACTGTGTTAAGATAGGGTGTTGTTATAAAGACAGATGTATCTGGAAATACGATATAATTATTATATATTATTATATATAAACAGGTATTATTAAATATTGTAATACATGTTATATTTTTCCTGTTCAAATGAAGAATTATATTAAATGTAAAATATGAAACCAACCTTGCATTTCTTAAATAAACTCCATTTGGTGGTGATGTATTATGTTATACATGGTTGATTTTGATTTGTTAGTGTTTTATTTGGGGACTTTCACATGTATAATTATGAGATAAATTGTCCTTTGATTTGACATTCTTTAAAAACCCTTATTTATCTTTTCTTTCTTTTGTCTTGTCTTTTACGTCAGGGTTATAACCATCAAATTGACACATTCCTCTTTTATTATTTCAATTTACTGGAAGAGATTGTGTAACATTTATTATATTTCTCCTTTAAAAGTTTAGAATAATAATTCACATGAAAGCCCAGCTAGTCATAGAGATGGCTTATTTGTTCATACATATGTACGTGAGCATACATAAATTTTAAATTACGGATTCCACTTATTTTATAGGTTTGATATAATTAAGACATTCTGTGTTTTCTTGTGTGAATTGTGGTAATCTGTGTTTCTGTCTAGAAAATAGTTCATTTAATTTAAACTTCCATATTTATTGTCATAAATTGTTTTGTAGAATCCTTTCATTATCATTATAATATCTTTGGAATCCACAGTGAGGTATATCTTTCATTGCTAATATTTATAATTCATGTTTTCTTATTGTTTGCTTTGTTGATCAGGCTTCCCAGAGGTTTATCAATTTCATTGCTTTTCTTCAAATTACCAATTTTTGGCTTCATTAATTCTCTCTATTATGCTTTTGTTTCCTTTTTGTCTTCATTTCTGTTGTGGTCTTTATAGCTTTTTTCCTCAGGTATAAACTTTTCTCCTTATTTTTCTTTAGAATTTGATAAACTTTATTATTAATGTTGTAAAAGAGACGTTTGATTATAACTGATTTTTTATTTATAAATTGTGAGATTTTCATTCCTAGATATTTGTGAAAACGTTTAATCTCTTTTTAGTTGAATGTACAAGGTTACCTGTATATGTATAGCGGAATGCTTTCTGTTCTATAATTTCATTCACTATTTAGCGTTTCCTTTGACTTTAAATCTTAGAGGTTTTCTTTTTTTTCTTTTGTTTTCTCAATATTCTCTTACATATTATTTCTTCTAATTGATCTCCAGTTCTCTTTTTTTTTGCTGTATGAATTTCTTCCATATATTTTAAACTTTTAATTGGAAATTTCTAGAACTTTTATTCTAATTCGCCATTCACTGTTCTGTTTTTCCAATCTGAGACCCACTGCAACCATTGTAATTAATATAGAAATTGTGATTTTAATCCACTGCATATCTTTCTGGGTTTTTGTTATTGTTTGGTCTTTTATAGAATAAATTTACTATGGAATTTTGCAACTTTGTATCCACTTAAATGAGAGATATTCTAAAGTTTTATATTTTCCCCTTAACCTTAAACAGTACTCTTAATTTTTTTGCCATGGTTTTAAGATTATGTCTGCAAATGTCAATCTTTCTAGTAGACAATGCAAATAACAAACATGATCTATAAACAGTGAGTTATGCCATATTCTTAGCTTGATTTTGTCATTAAAGCAATAAAAAACCAAAATTTTTAGCGTTGTATGTTATCTAATTAACTTGTAGGATGACATATATTAATTCCCTGCATTTAGGTAGAAATAATGTGAAAATCTGGCATAAAATTGAACCAGAATCATGAATAGATCATACTGATGAAAAGACTCAGAAACATATCCAAAGAAAGCTTGAAGGAACTGGGCAAATGTGGAAATGTCTTCAAAAATCTCAAGCTGCCAGAGAGATGATTAAGTCTACTATTTCTGTGTAGCCCTAAGAAATAGAAATTCAGACAGTGCAATCTAAAAAGTAATATTTAAAAAAATTCAGTGTGCCAAAAAGAAAACTATATTCAGCAGTGGATGTATGAATATAAGAGAAATGTGAGAGAATTCAAACATGGACTTGAGGACACAGGGGCTGACCCAAATGGCTACCAGCGTTCTTCCTGATCATGAGCTTCTTTGATTCTACTTTTTCTCCCTCTCCAATCCCAATTTCTAAAAGCAGGATGAAATTCCATCAGTCTGGTATGCATAAGAAAACCTAAGATACTTTCGGATGCAAAGATACATTTTTCCCCAAAAATGTGTGTCAATTAAAATATTACATAGACCCTTTTATAACTAATGGTGGTATTAATAGAAAACCTACACATGAATGTTTATACAAGATTGATTCATAATTGCCAAAAATTGGAAGCAACCAAGATGTCCTTCATTAGGTGAATGGATAAACAATCTTTGGTATATTTTATACAATAGCATATTATTCAGTGATTTAAGAAAAAGAAATAGTTACCAAGCCACAAAAAGGCATGTATGAATCTTAAGAGCATTTTGCTAAGTGAAAGAAGCCAATCTAAAAATGCTACTTACTGTATGATTCTAACTACATGGCATTATGAAAAAGGCAAAACTATGGAGACAGTAAAAAGATCAGTGGTTGCCAGAGGGTCAGGGCTGGGGGTTGAGTAGAGGGTTGGGCAATGAATAGATAGAGCAGAAAGGATTTTCAGGGTGGTAAAACTATTTTTTGCAATACGGTAATGGTAGACACATATCATTATTCATGCATCAAAAATCACAGAATGTACAACACAAAAAGCGAGCCTAATGAAAACTATTCCCTTTAGTAAGTAATAATGCATCAACATTGACTCATCAATTGTCACAAATGTACCACACAAACACAAGATGTTAATAACAAGAGAAACTGTGGAGGGTGGGGGACGGGGGAAGGAGTATGTGGGAACTCTCTGTACTTTCTGCAGAGAAAGTCATGTAAATGTAAAACTGCTTTAAAAATGCCTATTAATTTAAAAATATGTATAACTACTTTCATATTTTCATAACTGATGGAGACACCTTTAAAACAATACAATAAAGTCATCAGTGCAATATTGAAATGGATACTTTTCTTTTAAAAATAAAATGATAAAATACTCTACTATCCTGAGTGCCTTTTATTCTTTCTTAACTGAAAAGTCATAGGATAAATAAATTTTACTGATGATCAGTGCTGATACTTTAGAGGTCAGTCTCCTAGAGTGTTTCATGGTCCACCACATTTGGCACAGCTAGCTAAGATTATGTGTTTTTTTATTGAGATGTGTTGTTTGGCTGAGTTTATCACTTTTTAAAAATACAAGGCTCCAGGGAATTTCTTGTTTTGTCTTCAATTCAGATTTTATTTTTTATGTGGGAAATTCTTAATTGATGTGATCTATATTCAGTCTCTTAATGTTTTATATATATTATGTATATTTATATACTAATCTATACACTGGCATATATGATTGCGTATTTATGCACACGCAGACCAGCCCTAGAGTCAGCTATGAATTACTTAGAAACTGCACTCCTGCCTGATGCTGTGTGGGCTTCCTCCGAAGATATTTTCAATTGTGCATTTGAATCTCCCTGAGGCACATAGTTTTAAATGCTGAGAATCTGCTTCTCTGCCTCCAGTTAACTCTATATGTGGCAGTGGTGATTAGAAATAATCCATTTTTTAAAATTATACCATATAATTGGGAGAACTTGTGTAGTTGGCAAATTGTTGCTTTTACCTATTATTTTGTCTTCTCCATGGTGGCCAGGTGGAATACTTTATTTTTCTCCTGAGCCATTTTATTCTATGCCTCTGGGTATAGATCCTGGTGATTTTTAGAATTGGATTCAGCTCAAGTAAGGATTCAAACATGATCTCTGTTTCCTTGGAAACCTAAAAGACACTTCCTTCCAAAGTAGAGACTTGAAGCTTTTGGCGTCAACGTATTGTGCCTAACTCCCAGGGCCAGGCTCAAAATACTGGGATAAGTCTCTCACTTTTGAGGGTGGGGTGAGGCCTTCTTTATATCCTAACAAATCTCAGCTTCCTAGAACTGTCTCAGTTCTTGATACAAACTGGGAGATTTGCTAAATTTTCCTTATATTTTATAGCTCCATTAATTAAAACTATTTACAAACATCAATGAAAATTGCTTTGTCACTTTAAAAAGAGATGCTGTTCTTCGGAAGGATAGCTTTAGAACCTAAAAAAATGTAAAAGAGAGTAGGACATCCTCAATATCTTATTTTCTAAAGAAGTGCTCCCAATATTGGCTGTGTTTATATGAGTGTTCTCAAACTTTATAGTCTACCAGAATCACCTGGAAGTCTTGTTCAAACAGAGCTCTGCTCTCAGATTCAAAACGTCTGTGTGGAGCCTGGGAATTTAGAGTTCGGACAAGTTCCCAGGTGTTACTGATGCTACTGACCCTAGGGCCACATTATGAGAATCACTGCTCAATGGGAATCCTTTTTTCACAGGTGGGACATTTGATTTGGGGCCTTAAATGTTGTTTGGAAAGAGCCTGGTTTTAAGAAGCAGACAGACTGGGTTTCATTTTTTACTATGCATCAAATTGTATGATTTAGGATAAATAATATCTCTAAACTGTAGTTACCTCATCCATTAAATAATGGTGAGAATAATGCATTTCTTTTACTTGTAATGCATCTCTTCAAATTCTCTGTTTCTTCATGAGTTAGTTTCAAAATTGTGCCTTCCTAGGAATTTTCCCACTTCATCTAACTTCTCTCCTTTGTTAGCATATTTTTATTCATGGTGTTGTCTTAGGGTCATTTTTATTTTTATAAGGTTGGTATTCACATTCCGTCTTTCACCTCTGACTTCAATAATTGAGTCTTTTATTTCTTGGTTAGTCTAACTACACATTTATTGATTTTGTTGATGGTTTCAGATAACTAACATTTAGGGTTCTTTATTTTGCCCATTATTTTTCTATTCTCTATTTCATGATTTCTACTCTGTGCTTTATTATCTTCTTCCTTCTACCTATTTGGATTTAGTTTGCTGTACTTTCTCTAGTTTAAGATTGGAGCACCATCTCAACATTTTATTATGTTGTATTTTCACTTTTATTAATCTCAAAATATTTTCTAATTTCCCTTATGAGTTCTACTTGACCCATTGATTACTTAGGAGTGTATTGTTTAGTTTCCACATTTAAAAAATTTCCCAAATATCTCTGTTTGATTTCTAATTTCATTCTATTGTGGTTGGAGAGCATACTTTGTATCATAGCAATGCTTTAAAATTATTATTTTATTCATGTTTAATTGATACAATAATTGTACATATAAGGTACATGTGTTGTCTCGCATATTGTGAAGTAAAAGACAATGAAACTTACATGTGTATAACATGTAATTATCAAATTGGGATAATTGGCATATCTATCACCTCAAACATTTGTCAAATCTTTATGTTCAGAACATCCAAAATCCTTTCTTGTAGCTATTTTGAAATATATGATAAATTATTGTTAATCATAGTTACTCTACTGTGCTATAGAATCCTATAAAATTATTGAATCATGTTTTTTGGCCTTTGTATGCTCTAACCTGGAGAAAGTTTCATGTGCTTTTTATGTCCTAAGGCTTTATAATCATTTTTGCCTTATATTAACAATTATTATGCTATTCAGAAGATTATGATGTTTATGCAGTTATAAAATTATTTCAGTGAGGGAAAAAATCCAAGCAGATACCATTATTTTCACTTCATTAGAGAGGTACCATAATTATAAGGAGCTAGGTTAAAGAGCATGATTATCATCTCTAATGAGGGCTGAACACCATTTACCACTTTAGTGGGGCACATTATTTGAGGACCTGCTGTGTGTCATTTCACTTAAAGTTGCAATTTCCATTGTAAGGGTCAAGACTTGTCCCTCTGAAATTTTGCTGAGAAATCAACTCACAAAAGGCACAGTCATAAGGGAAAAGGCATACAAATTTATGTGATCATAATTTCACGTGACATGGGAGCCTTCTGAATGAAGACCCCAAAATACAGGGAAAATTGTCCATTTTTATGCTTAGGTTCAACAAAGTATGAACAACTGTGTAGAAATACAGTCTAATGCTAATAGACTGAATGGGAAAATCCAGTAAGGCCTCTCTGTCTAGATTTTTCTCAGCCTCTCTGAGCATGCATTCTTTCCTTCTGGGCCTGGGGAAGGGCCCTCTCTGGAATGGGGGTCTTGTGACTTACAGTCAAACGAGGTAAGTCAGATCATTTTGGGGGGACCAGTTTTTTTTACACAGAAAGGCAGAGAGAAACTTTGAGTGATATTTTTAGATCTTTTAGATTTTATGGCTAGCTTTGGGAAAAGAGGTTCTGGTTTCTATGACCTACCTTGGGGAAGAGAAATCCTAGTTCTATATTAAAGCCTCAAGGGACAATGGGACTGAGAGACAGGAGAGCGGGGGAAGCTAAGAGAAAAAAAGTTTTGCTTCTGAGGCCTTCATTTTGGTGGATTTTTCTCTGAGTCCCAATACCAAGAACCTATCAATGAAATTAAGTGAATACTTACTGGAGTTTTTCTCTGTGTAGAGCATTTGGTAATACTTCTTGTCTCAACATCACTCTGCAAAATAATCATCTGGGCTACCAATAACAGTGCTTGCACATATCAGATGTTCAGTAGGTAGTCTCTGATTAATTCAGAATGGATTTATTTTTACTTATTTTTTTCCAGTACTAAAAATCATATGTGCGTTGCTTTTATCACATGTATTCAAAATGGATTGTGTTCTAGGGGAAAAAAATAAAATAAAAATCAAGACCAGAAATGGGAAAAATATATACTCTTCACAGCTATTTCCTTTGGGTCAATAGTAGCCTTGACCCAGGCATTCTTTGAATTCCTTTAAGCCCACTTTTTCTGGCTTTTACTTGTCTGAGGACCACAGGTATAATTGATTATGGGAGCAGAGAACACAAAATGAAACCCAAACTCAAGAGTAATTTTACCTGGTTAAGGGATGGATTCTCTTGGTAATAGCACAATAGGGACTTGCACTTACTATGCAAAACCCTCCACTCTTGGCACCAATTCCAAAGCATCCACAATCCTTCACAGAATGGGACTTTAATAAATATTGATCTCTTTATTATTACAAAAGTAACAGATGATCTTTGTGGGAAAAAATACAGTAATATATACAATAAAAATCCAATTCTTATTTTTCTTATGCCTGTACCTTAAACTAACTTCCTGTGCATTTATAGACATATAGTCTATTATCCAAACAATGAAATTTCACCAATTTAGCATCTTGATTTGGGGATTTAACAATTATTTCATGCATATTTTACATGGCAGTTAAATACATCTGATGTATCATTTATCTAGCCAGATCTTTTTGTTGTGAGGAATTGAAACTGTCAAATTAATAAGAGATAATTGTTTTCACTATATCCTTTTAATTTTAATTTCTCCAATAACTAATATTACTGGGCATTTTGGGGGTATGTGTATTATTCATATATGTTTTCCTATGCATTACCTTTCCATCTTTGATAAAATTTTCAAGCCGTTTTTAAATTTTTAGTTGTATTTAAACTCTTGATATGCAAAGGATATTGTTCTAATTATCTGTTGGTACATAATAAAACCACTCAAAAATGTCATTGCCTGAAAAATAGTAACATTTATTTTGTTCACAAACTTGTAATTTAGTCAAGATTTGATGGGGACATCTTATTTCTGGTCAATCCTGCCTCATTTGAGCCAGATTAAAAACTGGGAACTAGAATCTTTTGAAGACTTACTTATTCATTTCCATGTTTCTTGGTTAAGCTGACTTTCACCTTGGAAGTCAGCTGGAGCTGTTTACCAGACACCTGCATATGGCCTCTGTTTGTGGCTTGGGCTTCCTCATAACATGGCAACTAAGTTTCACGGGCAAACATCACAAGAGAGATTCAGGCAAAAACAGAATTGCTTTTTCTGAACAAGGCTTGAATGTCTTGCAGTGTCATTTCTGCCATCTTCCATTTGCTAGACACAAGTAGCTCAGACTGACCCACAGTCAAGGGGAGAAAAATTAGACATTAGGTTTCACTTTTCATTGGGAGGAGTGTCGGAGTTTAAAGAAATGTTCTAAAACCACCATCAATGTTAACTTTTTTGTAATTTATTTTTTCTTTGTTTTATTTTAAATCATTTACTCATTTAGCCAACTTAGTCAGTAATGAGCTTTGTGGTTTCTAAGTTTTGACATCTTTAGGGAGGGCTTCCCTTAGTCAAGGTTAAAAAGACATTCTTCTACTTTTACTTTAGTAAGATGTAAAGGGTCTAATGTTATTTTTAAATGGATAAACAATCATTGCCACGCATATTATTGAAGGGCCCATCCTACTTTGAATGGCTTCTTTATTATTGAATGCATTCTTATGTATTAATTACTCTGCTCTTGGATTCTATTTAGCCCCATCAAATTATTGGTTTGTTTTACATCCATTTTTTCATAGTTTTTATTACTGCAGTCTTATGGACCTGTGATCTCAGTGTCAGCATTAGTGTCCTAGAAGCCGTTTTGCTTTGTAGAGTCATCTTTAGTATTTAAAAATAGGCTTCTGGGGTACCACTCAATTTAATGAGAAATTCATTGTCCATTGTTTAGAATGTTTTTGGTGGTGGGAGAGGGGGAAAGAAGTGAACGCACTCATCCTAAATTATTTTACTCAAAAGTTTTTTTGTTTTCCAGATGTCTTAATGTCTTTTGTGTTTTTGAGCCTTTTTCTGGAAGTTTGGACTAATGGAAGGGACTAAAATGAAATTCCTGTCTTTAGAAGTCTCTTAGTCACTTCAGCCAGTAGAAATTGCTCATGTTCTGCTATTTTCTCCAGTCCCAAGACCATTTGCATAATATGTGTACCCTCTTTTTATAACCTCTTCACATAATTTTAATATGGTCTTTGTTTCCAATTCTCTCCTTCTCACGATGCCTCTGAAAATCCACTTTTCTTCACCTGTTCTTCAGAGTAAGATAGTTCTTTTTGTGGGCCATTATGGTGTTTATATTAATACTCCTAATTTCACACTTAAAAGGTCCATCTATATTTTTAAAAATATATATTTTCCCTTCTTTCACATGAAATTTGCTAGATGAATTTTAGAATCCAGCTCCTTAAAAAGAAAAAAAAGAGATTTGAATTTAGAATGTTTTAAATTTATGGGTACATTTGGTTGGCAATTGTCATCATTATAATTTTGGAACATTTCATATTTATAAATCTTCCAAAGCTTACCTCCTCCAATCTCCCCCTCCCCTGAACATTTTTGTCTGTTTATGCAGTTTTTCAGTGATGTGCTTTAGCCTTTTTTTTTTTTAATCATTTTCCACGTTTTGGTTGTTAACTCCCACTGGTGGTCCTTCTAGGAGGGTCCAGCATTCCTGGTTATCATAGGAAGTACGGATACGTTTTTAACTAGTGGGCAGCTGCCACGGTTTTTATCCCAAGGCAGGAGGACCACATATTTCTACACTTTCCAAGCCCATGTTCTTTCCACGTTTCAGGTACTCTCTAATACAACAGGTGAGCATTGGAGATAACCAACACATGACATATCAGTGGACAGAGGTAGCTGAAAAGGTTTTCACATCATCAAGAAGTGATTTTAAGCACACAGGCTCAAGATACTACTTGTATTTATAAAAAGAAAAGTCATTCCCTTGGATGTCATCCCCTGTGGCATAAATCACTTTCAATCTCCTCTCCAGATACCTCTCAGGATAAAGTTAGCCAGCCACCTGTGACTCTGCCTCTAATTATTGTTTACTTCATTGTCAAAGTTTAAGCTGATAATACTGTCATTAATGCCAGTTGAGAGGTTCTAGTGCCAGACTAGATGGCAGTGGCAGAGCTGAGTGTCAGCCCTTTACTGAGGCATTGACTCTATGTTATTTAAACCACACTATCACCTTTGCTAACTTTTGGAATGAAAAAAGAAGACAATAATCAAAGCATTCTACAGTTCTGGGCTCACTCTCTTGCTTACGGAGTTTCTCTTGAATTTATACGTTTTGTTCATGGTTTTCTTTCAATTACCTTAATGGCTAATTTTCCTTCTGAATAGCCCATTTAACATACTATTTTACTTTTCATTTTTAAATATATTTTACAATTTTTCTTTCCTAATTGATGAAGGTTTTCCGCCATTTTTTAAAGTGGTTATTACTTATATTTAAGAATAGATATTTTTGATGTTTATCTTGAAAAATACATATATAATATATACATACCTCAGTTAGTTTTATATAAAAATATGGTTTATATATATACATACATAAGTATGCATACATATATATGCTATATATAAAATACATATAGTTACATAAACCTCAATTAATTTTTAAACTCATTGACATGGAGTATTTGGCTTTTAAAAACTTCTATCTATAGGCACATTAGCTTTCATATTGCTATCATTGTATATTACTTATGATCACACAGTGTTGAATCTTGACATTTCATCTGTCTTTCTTTTTTAAGGACTAGCTCTTGGTTTCTTTTTATTGTTATCATTTCATTTTTTTTAAATTTCTTTTTATTTTGAATGTTTAGCTAATTTATTTTTTAGTGCTTTGTATTGTCCAGTAAATAGACTAAAGAATATATGTGTGTGTGTGTGTGTCTATAATTTTAAATGCAATAGATAACATGTGCAGAAGTGTTCTCAATTTCAATCACTTAAAATATTCCTAATTTTGGCTTTAGTTTCCTCTATAACCCAAGTTATTGAGAAGATATACTATGTATATTTAATTTCTAAATTAGTTATTTTTGGATATCTGTCTCGTTAATTCCTTGTTATTTTTATTGTTTTCACATAATTTTTCTATTTGCATCATTTTTTGTGTGATTTTGTGAGCTTTGTGTATCACTTACAGTATCATATATTTTTGTATTTAAATATTTCTTGAGTATCTGAACATGTTTTATTTTGATTGGATGAAAGGCCCTTAAATACAAAATATATGTCTCACAAAACTCTTATTCAACTTTTTTTTCCATTTATGATATATCTCTATGTCATGTATCAGTCTGTGAGATAACTGTGTTAAAATACTCACTTTATAATTGTGGTTGTGCCATAAGATTTCTATTACATGTTAATTTCTGTTTCTGTTTTTTTCTTGTATTTATTTAGCAAGATGTCTCTTTAAATAGGATACCTTGTTGGTAAGAATTACATAAAATTGGCCGGGTGCAGTGGCTCACGCCTGTAAACCCAGCACTTTGGGAGGCTGAGATGGGCAGATCGCCTGAGGTCAGGAGTTTGAGACCAGCCTGGCCAACATGGTGAAACCCCGTCTCTACTAAAAATACAAAAATTAGCTGGGCATGGTGGCACACACCTGTAATCCCAGCTACTTGGGAGGCTGGGGCAGGATAATCGCTTGAACCTGGGAGGTGGAGGTTGCAGTGAGCCGAGATCACACCATTGCACTCCAGCCTGGGCGACAAGAGCAAAACTCCCATCTCAAAAAAAAAAGAAGAATTATGTAAAATGTGTGCCCACTTTTCTAGTATCTAGGGATAGAAATAGAAATCACTTTCATGCATATCTTTATTCTGGAAAACAATCATTTTTGTGTTCTCCTATGTGTTTCAAATGTAGAATTTGAAAATACCATTTTTTGTTGTTAAATTTTATTTTCCTTTAGAGAGCTTGGCAGAAACTACTTTGGCTCTTGCTATGCAGTAAATTTCACTTTGGACGATCTGTATCAACTTGCAAAAGCCGAATTGTCATATCCTTGAATTCCAAAATCCAAGGTTAAGGAAGATGATTGCCATGGAAAAGGAACCCTGACAAACCAAGTTCCAGTAGTAAGGAAAGCCAGGGAAGATTCTGAGATAATATTGCCTTGAAGGAAGAAAGATATGTCTGGGATGGTGACCCAGCTTTAAGACAAAGGTTTATGTTTGATAAATGCCAACAGTGCAATAAGAACACATCACCAAACATGACTAACTAAGGCTGGGAACATGGGGGCCTTGGGATCCTTTCTTGAGAAAGCTGAAGTTTGGAGGACAACTCCCACTTAACTGGTAGTGTTGATTTCAGCATCACAGTGGCAGAGTTAATGTGAGCTCCCTGTTGCAAGCACCTGTACAATGTTGAGCAAGATAGCACGACAACAACAAAATAAATATTGTCAATGATTAAAGAAAGAGAAAGAATCCCCTTATAGTAGAAATAAAGCAGGGTCTTAAAGCCTGTTTGTAGGTGACAAAGCAAAGCCCTGAGGAAATGGTGGGAGTGGGCTGAGTCTGGGGTTTTGACTCCTGAAAGCTGGAAAAGATGTGTTCATTGGGCCTTTGAAAGGGGTGGAGATGGTACTGAGAACCTTGCAGGGAGGCAAAATCAAAAAGGACAAAGTGAGAAGGAAGTGTGATTCTGTCCTGGGAATCTAGAAGACTCCTGTGAGAGATACTGGTGTACAGTCCTAAATTAAACACCAACATGCTGCCGGAATTCTCAGGGTGAGAAATACTGTAGGATGGTTTTAAACAATAACATAAACAACCACCACAAAAAGTATGTACATGAACACACATGCATAAACATGGCAGTTATGAAATTAAAAACCATTTTATAGGAACTGTGTCACAATGAAGAGTGCATTAAACTTCCCTGAGGTGGAGTGGCATTAGAAAAGAGAAAAAAAAATTAAAATACCTATAATTTGAGTGACTACAGCAGTCTGATAGCACAATAAAGTAAATATGTTGGAAGGATTATATGGATAAAATAAGGATTGGAAAAAAATGGAAACTCTAAGAACAGGCATATTTTAAAAGGAATCGAATAAAACTTCTAGAAATAAAATTACAGCTTTTGATACAAAAAACTCAATGAATGTTAAATAGCAGATTAGGCACATTTGAAGAGTGATTTACTGAGCTGAAAGATGGATCTGAGGAAATTATCCACAGCGGCACAGTAAGGAAAAAAGAAAATATGAGAAGACATATAAAGAAGAGAATGGAAACATACCTAAGAATCAATCTACCAAAGATGTGCAGAGCTATTATAGAGAAAACTTTAAAATTTCACAAAGTACATAAAAGAAGACCTGTATTATTAGAGAGACATGTCATTTCATGAATGAAAGACTTAACACCTTAAAGATGTCACATTTTCTCAAATGCAAGTAAACATCTAAATGTGTTTTTCACTGAGCTCAACAGAGTAATCTGAAATTCTGACAGATGAGTGAATTTCTGAAAATAGGAACTTTTTAGAGCAGAATCAGGTGGGAGGTCCAAATATATTATAAAGCTGTAGTCATTGGAACCATGTGATATTGACAAAGTGGCTTTATAGGCAAACAGAACAGAATGGAGAGGCCAGAAACAAACCCTTTATGGTAACTTGGTGTATAACAAGTCACTGTTTCATAAAACAGTGAACAAATGATTGACTAGTTGGCAAATATTTTCTTAAAGGGACAGATAGTAAATAATTCAGGCATTGAGAACCATAGTGTCTCTGTCACAACCACCCAGCTCTGCTGATGTAGCACAAAAACAGCCAATGTAGAAACAAATGAGGAGAGCTGTGTTCCAGGAAAACTTTATATACAAAAATAGGCAGCTGACCCATGGGCCCCAGTTTGCCATTCTCTGCTCTGTTTAATAAATTGCTTTCAGATATTTGATAATTTGATTTAGAAAACTATGAGAGAAGATTACCTTCTCACCCTGCACATAGAATAATTCCACAAGGGCCAGCATTCTAAATAAGAAAAATAAATCTTTAGAATCTGTCCAGTAAAATACAGGAAAATTGATCAAAGTAGGAAAAGGTTTATTGAAAAAGAAATAACAAAAAAATAGAAAAGGAAAATATTGATATGTTGGCATTAAATTTAAACACTTTTATATGTTAAAATATGTTACATGAACTAAGTTTAAAAATAGGCTACAGTTTGGATGGTATCTGCAACATACATGACCAACCCAGTATTAGTAAAAAGAAAGCTTATAGAGTACTTACAGATCAATAAGATAAACTTATCAAAAGAAAATAAACAAATGAACAAATGGCATCTAAAGCTGATTTAAGAAGAGAAAATTCAAATGATTAATACTCATATGAAAAGATGCTCAGTATCTAGTAATCAGGTAAGTATACTTTAAAATGTGAGATGCCATTTCAGAGTCACCAATACCACAGATATAAGGAGGTGGAAAGTCACATATTGCTACTCTGAGTGTAATTACCTACTGCCATGTTGGAAACCAATTGGATAATATTTAGTAATATTGAAGTTGTGATTTTACTAATATCCACAAATTTCTAACATATATTCTGGAGAAACTCTTACATATATGCATATGGAGAAATACAAGGATATTACTATGGCATTGTTGAGAGTATAAAAAAACAAAATAAATATTCATCAAGTAGAATGATAAAACTTCAAGTATCAATGAATACATTATTTTACACATATTGACATTTTTGTATATCAAAATTATAACATTAAGTAAAAACTTCTCACAGAATTATAATAAGATTACTTTATGTAACAATAGAAATAGAAAATGCACAAAGCAATGTATTATATTGCTCTTTTAGTCAGTTGATTGGTGAAAGTAAATATATACGGATTTGGTTAGAAAGGATAACCACAAATTTCAGGACAGTCAATGCCTCTTGGGATAGAAAAAGAAAAATGGAATTGGAAAGAAGTACAAAGGGAATGACAACCGTATCCGTAACATTTTATTTTCTTAAAAGTGACATGAAGCAATTTGGACATGGATTATATATGGGTGGTGGGTACCACCGACATCACATCTTATTTTTGTAGTTTTTTTCTCTGCTTGAATAATTTAACAATTTTAAAATAGAAAACTAAGAAAAATATATATATATACATATACGTCTACACAAACATGTAGGTAGATATATGTGTAAATATACATATGTACATATCTACACACAAAAACACACAACATACATACACAGATGAAAAGATTAGATGTGGGAGAGGCTGGATTACTCAAGTGTGCAAAGGCAAAGAAATAATTGCAAAATTTCAGGGCTGCAGGTACAAGATAAGTTTTGAAGTGTTAGTAGGTAATAGATCATGCAGAACATTGTTAAGCAATGAAGTGAAGAACTCCACCGAAGATTTTTAAATTGAGAGAAGATGGTTGTAATAAATTGTTTAAAAGATCCTGCAGAAAGCAGCATGGAAAATGGTCTGGAGACTATGCCTGAACATTGTGGGTTAACCACTGAGGGAATATTTTTGTAGTCTTCAGAAGAAACAATGGCAGCTTGTAGTGGTTCAGGATGTAACATCAATAGGACTTCGTGATAAAACAGGAGAGGAAATGAAAGTATGAAAATTATTCTGATATTTGCCCTATGTTGTTTCATCCCAGTTGTCATGGGATTACAGAAGGTGAAGATCACAATCTTAGTTTGAATACATGCCATTAGTTTGATGTGAACTTGAGACATCTACATGGAAATTTCAGGTCTTCCTGGAGCTCAGAGAGCAGTTTAGGTTGGAGATTTGAGAGTCTTCACTAAATTGGTAATTGACACTGTGGGCCAATATTGGATAGCACGGGACAGCAGACAATCAGAGGAAAAGTGGCCCTAATCTACAGCGTTGAAGAACTTCAACTTTCAATGGTCAAGATGAAGAGGAGGTGTCTTATGAAATAAAACTGAGAAGCTGTCAGGAAATTAGGAAGAAAACAAAGAAAGAGAGGAGCCAGTAATGAAAAAAGAAGACAACGCTTCAATGAAAAATGTAGTAAAATAGTTTGGAAAGCTACTGGGAGGTGAAACAGAACAAAGACTAAACAATATCCACTAGACTTAGTGACATGGCTACTATAGAAAGCACTGCTTTAGAGATGTAATGGAACAGATAGCTGGTTTGTCTGATAATTCAGTGAAGGAAGGATAAACAAAAATAATGAGTATAAACCTTTTTGAAATTGGTTCATCTAAAAGAAGAGAAGATTATATCTGGAAAAAGCTGCTGGATCATGATTTTATAGAGCATATTCAATGAGAAATTAAATCGAAATGATGATATTGATTACACTAGACAGAAAGGCATGCAATTTAAGTTATGTGAGAATAGGGTTTCTAACGATGGGTAGAGGAATCAGAATTGAATACAAGGAAGGACAGTTCATCTTTTTTAACAGGAGGGAATGGAGGCAGATACTGGTCGGTATGGTCTTCAGAGGAAGACCGAAGGATTCTAATTTAATTTTCTCTTAAGTAGCAGGCCAGGCATCTGTAGGGAGTGGGGTTAGGACTGAGAGGTGGAGTGTTTGAGGAGAGTGGGAAAGTATAAAATCGTTATTGCAGAAAGTGAGGACGCATGTAAAAGAGAGAAGCAGAGTACGTTTGCCTAGAAGTTTTGCATGCACATTTGCGGTTACGTTCATGAATTTGTGACAAAAATATGTAATTATAAGTTAAATTCTCCAATTGCCTTTGGCTTTTCAGATATAGGCAGAGAGAGAGTATACACTGGGGAATATGCTGGGTTGGGCTTTTGCTCCATTAGTGCCACGACATTCAAGAGGTTTCTATAGTGAGGCAGAATGCACTGGAAAATAAATTGGAATGTTTTACAACTGCTGTCTTCCCTTTCTGGGGAAGATAAATAACAAAATTGCCAGATTATATTTTCAAGTAAATTTTTCTGTTATTCAAAGATAATTCCTTGATACCAAAATTTCTGAGACTTTGTTTGCCCCAAATATCTCCCTGCCCACCACCCCAGGCTTAAGTAAATAATAATTTGGTCAGGTATTTTTTTTCTAGAAAGATGTATAGAGATTAGAAGCACAAACTCTCAAATCTGTCTGTGTGATCCTGAATCCCACTCTGCTTCTTACTAACTGTATAACTTCACAGAAGTTACTTAACACTCTGCCTCATTTTCTTCATCTGTAAAAAACGCATAAAAATACCGATTTACTTATGTGAGGAATAAATGGAGTATTACATGTAATGCACTTAAAACAGTGTGTAGAAATGTTAGTTAATTCAAAAACAGTGTCAAAACTACTTTACTCTGGAATTTGAAAAACATTTTTCCATTTTCTCCCAGCATTCTTTATTAAAGATAAGTCTAATCAGTAGATAATTTATGTTTAGACACATTTCTCTTTCTGCCCTAAACCTTTTCCTTATTTTCTCTTTATTTATTTATTTTTCTTGAGGCGGAGTCATGCTCTGTTGCCCAGGGTGGAGTGCAGTGGGGCGATCTGGCGCACTGCAACTGCCGCCTCCTGAGTTAAAGCGACTCTCCTGTCTCAGCCTCTGGGGTAGCAGGGCGTACAGGTGCCTGCCAACATGCCTGCCTAATTTTTGTATTTTTAGTAGAGACGGGGGTTTCACCATGTTGGCCAGGCTGGTCTCGAACTCCTGACTTCAAGGTGAGCCACCCGCCTCAGCCTCCCAAAGTGGTGGGATTACAGGCGTGAGCCACCACGCCCAGCTGATTTTCTCTTTATTCTTGAAATTTAGAAATTTCAGCTGCATTAGACAAAAAAAAAAAGCCCTACTTGAACACAGGGAGCTCTTCAATGTGAAGTCTTAACAAGCTTCTCCTTGAGAAAATTCTTATTTCCCATCTTTGCATTACCATGATTAATTTTTTTGCTCTTATTCTACAATTTTTATTAGAATGCTATTGCATCTTCTGTTGTTTATCTTCCAAGTTCCTTACTTCTATTTTTTCCATATTTCTAATGAAACTCTATTTTTCCAGAATTTTAAAATCTTTTTCACCAATGTTTCTGACATTGTATGCTTATTATGTTAATGTACTTTTCTCTCTTCTTTTAGTGTGAAATAGTAATGCATACAGTCAGATCATAAAAAGAACACTTACATATACATTACCCAGGTTTACAAAGTATTTCTAGAGTGCAGAAGTGTACCATGTATCAATCACTAGTTACAATCTCATTATTCTCCCCTAGAGATCATTATTATTATGAATTGTATGATAAAGATTTTGTTTTTTTCATAATATTACTATCTACATATGTATTCGTAGAAATTATATCTTAGTAATTTTTGCATTTTCAATTTTGGTATACAGAACTTTACGATGTGTATACTTTGGTGTTTATGAGCTCCATCCATGCTTTTGCAAGTGGCTATATTTCTATAATGTTTATTGCTATGTAGTATTCCATTATATGAGTATTTCACAAGTTATTTGCTAATGATGGACATTTAAATTATACGCATTTTGGAGCTATTGGGAACAATTCTTGTGCATGTAATCTAATACACATATGCTTGATTTTTTATGAGTGGAGTTGCTGGGTTAAAAGCTATGGTAGCTTTATACTTACTAGATAACATTAAAGAGAATTCCATGAGTTTCCTACAGAGTTCCATAAGAGTTGAACAACCTTACATCCCACCCATAGTTCATGACAGCACCCAGGGCTCCACATCCCCAACACCACCCCATACTATCAGAGCTGAAATTTTTCCAACTCTAATGGGTATGTAATGATGATAATATTCAATCCCCTTGGTATTTCCTCTTTGTAGAGTGCCTGATTAAGTCTGTTTGTCCATTTTTCTAATACAGTATTTGCTTTTTTCCTATTTACTTACAGTAGTTCTTTATATTATATTAATACAAATCTTTTGTTTTTGCATGCGCCACAAACTATTTTTTTCTCAGTTTTTGGCTTTTCTCTATCTTCGTAATATCTTTTGATAAAGTTTTCAATTTTAAGGTAGTCAAATTAATCAATATTTTTCTTTGTAGTTAGTACTTTTTGTGTTTTAAGAAATCTTTCCCTATTGTGACATCATAAAGATATTCTGTGATCATCTTGTAAAAGCATTAGGTTTTCTGGGTTTACAGAGAAGTCTTTAATCTACCTTGTGTGTTGTGTGATGTAAGATTTCAAATTAATTTTTATATGTACAGTCAATTTTCCCAGGGGCATTTATTGAAAAAACATTTTTTTCCTCAACTGAGCTGCAGAGCAATCTTGTTAAATTTCAACTCTCCATTAAATTTGGTCTTTTTTTATAATCTTTTTTCTGACCTAGGTATTTATGCTTGTACCAGTACCAGGTCAACTTAATGACTGTGTTTTTGTAATAAATCCTGATACCTGGTTTAGCTAGTTTTCCTACTCTTCCTTTTCAAGACTATCTTGGCTATACTTGGGCATTCCATTTCCTTGTTCCTCTGGGAAAAAAAGCAAAACAGAAAACAAAGAAAAAATGAAAGATGAATTTGATTAGAATATTTGTAAATCTATGATTATTTCCTGAAGAATAGATGTCTGTGTAATTCTGAGTTTTGTAATCCAGTGAGAAAGAAAATCTCCTCATTTATTGATATTTTCTTTAATAATTTCCAATAATATTTTATAATGATCTCTGCAGAATTCTTGAATATATTTTGTTAAATTTATTCCTGGATAATTCAGATTTTTGATGCATATTTACATTATATTTTTAAATGTTTTCTAAACCTTTGTGGGTGGCATATAGAAAGGCAATTGATTTTTATATATAGATTTTGTGTTGAGCTAACTTGCTGAACTTTCTTCTAAATTCTAAAAATATACTTCTGTGTTCTTTTGGATTTACTACTCACACAATCATACCACCTGCTAAAAATAATTTCCTCATTTCTATCCCTTATGCCTTTTAGATATTTTCTTGACTTTCTTAGTTGGCAACATCTTCTACTGGAGTGGTGTAAAAATGTAGTGAGAGTTGGAAGTCTTAACTTTGATCTTTAATGGACAGCATTTCAGGGTTTAACCAGGGAGTATAATGCCACACATTTTATGTGCATCTCTTTTATTTATTGTTATTTAATTTATTTATTGAGGTGGAGTCTTGCTGTGTCACCCAGGCTGAGTGTAATGGTGCGATCTCAGCTCACTGCAACCTCCATCTCCCGGGTTCAAGCGATTCTCCTGCCTCAGCCACCCAAGTAACTGGGATTACAAGCACCTGACACCACGCCTGGCTTCTTTTTTTTTTTTTTTTTGTATTTTTAGAAGAGATGGGGTTTCACCATGTTGACCAGGCTGGTCTTGAACTGACCTCAGTTGATCCACCTGCTTCAGCCTCCCAAAGTGCTGGGATTACAGGTGTGAGCCACTGTGCTTGGCCGCATCCCTTTTATTATGATTAACAATGTTTCATCCTAACATTACTTGTCTATGGTTTTCATACTTTAACCATATAGAAATATTTTTCTTGCTTTGTTTTCTTTTTCCTTTACTCAAATTATTAAGTGTCAGATATTAAGTCAAATCATCCTTGTGTCCCTGAAAAAAATTAACTGTCATGTCATATTATCCTTTTTATATGTTTCTTGATTTAGTTTGCTTATATTATGTTTAGGATTTTTGTTACTAAATGTCTTAATGAGTGAAATTAGTGAAATAATTTTCTTGATGATATTGTTCTTGTCAGATTTTGCATCAAGGTTATATATACCTTATAAAAATAGAGAGTCGGTTTTTTTTCTATTTCCTAGAAGACTTAGTTTAACATTATAATTTCTTCCTTGAATGCTTGAAGAAATTCATTGACAAATCCTTTTGGGTTAAAAAGGGTGTGTGTAGGACCTGTGTGGGATACGCTTTGACTCCTGATGAATTTTGTGTTCTCTGTCTTCAGGTGTTCATACATTTTATTAATTTTTTCAAAAATCAAATATTTGGCTTTGATGTTTCTCCCTAGTGAGAACACTTTTATTATCATAAAGTGAATGTTATTATTTTTGTCTGATATTGATGCAATGCCAGCTTTCTTTTTGTTTATTTTTTAATGACATGGTTTTTCCAATTTTCTCTCAATGTGATTGCATTACTTTTGACTTACTCTTATAAACAACATTGAGGTGGATTTCATTTGTTTAATCAAGTATGACTATCTCTACTTTTTACCAATTTTTTATTGCTGATGGAATGAAAATTTTGTGGTGGAGGTTGTAAATCTATGATTTTGTTTTATTCATCCTATTCCTCTCCTTTCTCTCTAGATAAAAATATAGATAGATGATAGATAGAGAGACAGACAGACACTGATAATAGATAGAGATATAATATTTTACTTTACTTTTTTGTCTTCTTTCAGGTTTATTAAATAATTTTAAACTTTAGATTTTTCTCTCAACTAACAAAGTTAGAGAACTTGCACTGCCGGATGTCAAGATCTCTTGTAATGTAACAATAATTAAGATGGTGTTGTTTTGGTACAAGTCTAGATGAATAGACTAGTGGAACAGAAGAGAGAAATCAATGAATACATTTACAACCATCTTATATACAACAAAGGTGTCACTGAAATGCACTGGGGTTTGAATCGTACTTCTAATAAGTAGTACTGGGTCAATTAGAATCAAAAAAGAAAAAAGTATTGATTCCTACCTCACACCATGTACAAAAATTAATTAGAGATAGATTCTAAAATATAAATTGTAAAGCAATACAACTTCTAAAAGAAAACAGAAAATTTTTGATTTTGTACTGGGAAAAGTTTTCTTAAACAGAACACAATCTATTCACCCTTTAGAAAATTAATAAATTAGATTTTATTAAAATTAAGATATTTTAAAAAGACACCATTATGATAGAGAATAGGCAAGCTGTAGACTTAGAGGAAGCCTTGGAGAAAATACATATTTTAAAATATATTTATGTGTGTGTATATATAACATTATTTTATATATATTTATAAATGATTACCTTTCTATTATCTATTATCTATGTATCCAAGAACTCATACAGAATATATTTTTAGAAACTTTCTAAATCAATGAAAAATGAAGAAAAAAACTACTGAATGGAAAACTTGAAAAGACACTTCATGGACTGGTATAACCGAATGCCCCCAATGTAAATGAACATGTTTTCAATATCAGTATTCAATACTATCATTATTATTATTTTTTTCTCTCACCTCTTATTTTATTCAGCCAAGTGAAACATCAGTGTGCACTTCACCTACATATTCGGCTACACAAAAAAATTTAATATATGTATAGATATTTTCGCACATGTTTGAGAAAGGATAAAGATATACTTGTGACGTGGTATACCAGTTGAGAAGTACTGTTCTTTTTTTTTTATATATACTTTAAGTTCTAGGGTACATGTGCACAACATGCAGGTTTGTTACATAGGTATACATGTGCCATGTTGGTGTACTGCACCCATTAACTTGTCATTTACATTAGGCATATCTCTTAATGCTATCCCTCCCCCCTCCCCCCACCCTGTGACAGGCCCTGGTGTGTGATGTTCCCCTTCCTGTGTCCAAGTGTTCTCATTGTTCAATTCCCACCTATGAGTGAGAACATGTGGTGTTTGGTTTTTTGTCCTTGCAATAGTTTGCTGAGAATGATGGTTTCCAGCTTCATCCATGTCCCTACAAAGAACATGAACTCATCCTTTTTTATGGCTGCATAGTATTCCATGGTGTATATGTGCCACATTTTCTTAATCCAGTCTATCATTGTTGGACATTTGGGTTGGTTCCAACTCTTTGTTATTGTGAATAGTCCCACAATAAACATATGTTTGCATGTGTCTTTATAGCAGCATGATTTATAATCCTTTGGGTATATACCCAGTAATGGGATGGCAGGGTCAAATGGTATTTCTAGTTCTAGATCCTTGAGGAATTGCCACACTGTCTTCCACAATGGTTGAACTAGTTTACAGTCCCACCAACAGTGTAAAAGTGTTCCTATTTCTCCACATCCTCTCCAGCACCTGTTGTTTCCTGACTTTTTCATGATCGCCATTCTAACTGGTGTGAGATGGTATCTCATTGTGGTTTTGATTTGCATTTCTCTGATGGCCAGTGATGATGAGCATTTTTTCATGTGTCTGTTGGCTGCATAAATGTCTTCTTTTGAGAGGTGTCTGTTCATATTCTTCACCCACTTGCTGATGGGGTTGTTTGTTTTTTTCTTGTAAATTTGTTTGAGTTCTTTGTAGATTCTGGACATTATGCCTTTGTCAGACGAGTAGACTGCAAAAATTTTCTCCCATTCTGTAGGTTGCCTGTTCACTCTGATGGTAGTTTCTTTTGCTGTGTGGAAGCTCTTTAGTTTAATTAGATCCCATTTGTCAATTTTGGCTTTTGTTGCCATAGCTTTTGGTGTTTTAGACATGAAGTCCTTGCCCATGCCTATGTCCTGAATGGTAATGCCTAGGTTTTCTTCTAGGGTTTTTATGGTTTTAGGTCTAACGTTTAAGTCTTTAATCCATCTTGAATTAATTTTTGTATAAGGTGTAAGGAAGGGATCCAGTTTCAGCTTTCTACATATGGCTAGCCAGATTTCACAGCACCATTTATTAAATAAGGAATCCTTTCCCCATTTCTTGTTTTTGTCAGGTTTGTCAAAGATCAGATGGTTGTAGATGTGTGGTATTATTTCTGAGGGCTCTGTTCTGTTCCATTTGTCTATATCTCTGTTTTGGTACCAGTACCATGATGTCTTGGTTACTGTAGCCTTGTAGTATACTTTGAAGTCAGGTAGCATGATGCCTCTAGCTTTGTTCTTTTGACTTGGGATTTTCTTGGCAATGCAGGCTCTTTTTTGGTTCCATATGAACTTTACAGTAGTTTTTTCCAATTATGTGAAGAAAGTCGTTGGTAGCTTGATGGGGATGGCATCGAATCTATAAATTACCTTGGGCAGTATGGCCATTTTCATGATATTGATTCTTCCTATCCATGAGCATGGAATGTTCTTCCATTTGTTTGTGTCCTCTTTTATTTCCTTGAGCAGTGGTTTGTAGTTCTCCTTGAAGAGGTCCTTCACATCCCTTGTAAATTGGATTCCTAGGTATTTTCTTCTCTTTGAAGCAATTGTGAATGGGAGTTCATTCATGATTTGGCTCTGTATTTGTCTGTTATTGGTTTATAAGAATGCTTGTGATTTTTGCACATTGATTTTGTATCCTGAGACTTTGCTGAAGTTGCTTATCAGCTTAAGGAGATTTTGGGCTGAGACGATGGGGTTTTCTATATATAAAATCATGTCATCTGCAAACAGGAACAATTTGACTTCCTCTTTCCCTAATTGAATACCATTTATTTCCTTCTCCCGCCTGATTGCCCTGGCCAGAACTTCCAACACTATGTTGAATAGGAGTGGTGAGAGAGGGCATCCCTGTCTTGTGCCAGTTTTCAAAGGGAATGCTTCCAGTTTTTGCACATTCAGTATGATATTGGCTGTGGGTTTGTCATAAATAGCTCTTATTATTTTGAGATACGTCCCATCAGTACCTAATTCATTGAGAGATTTTAGCATGAAGCGCTGTTGAATTTTGTTGAAGGCCTTTCTGCATCTGTTGAGATAATCATGTGGTTTTTGTCTTTGGTTCTGTTTATATGATGGATTACCTTTATTGATTTGTGTATGTTGAACGAGCCTTGCATCCCAGGGATGAAGCCCACTTGATCATGGTGGATAAACTTTTTGATGTGCTGCTGGATTCGGTTTGCCAGAATTTTATTGAGGATTTTTGCATCAATGTTCATCAGGGATATTGATCTAAAATTCTCTTTTTTTGTTGTGTCTCTGTCAGGCTTTGGTATCAGGGTGACGCTGCCCTCATAAAATGAGTTAGAGAGGATTCCCTCTTTTTCTATTCATTGGAATAGTTTCAGAAGGAATGGTACCAGTTCCTCCTTGTACCTCTGGTAGAATTCGGCTGTGAATCCGTCTGGTCCTGGACTTTTTTTGGTTGGTAGGCTATTAATTATTGCCTCAATTTCAGAGCCTGTTATTGGTCTATTCAGGGATTCAACTTCTTCCTGGTTTAGTCTTGGGGATGTGTATGTGTCCAGGAATTTATCCATTTCTTCTAGATTTTCTAGTTTATTTGCATAGAGGTGTTTATAGTATTCTCTGATAGTAGTTTGTATTTCTTTATCATTTTTGATTGCGTCTATTTGATTCTTTCCTCTTTTCTTCTTTATTAGTCTTGCTAGTGGTCTATCAATTTTGTTGATCTTTTCAGAAAACCAGCTCCTGGATTCATTGATTTTTTGAAGGGTTTTCTGTGTCCCTATCTCCTTCAGCCCTGCTCTGATCTTAGTTATTTCTTGCCTTCTGCTAGCTTTTGAATGTGTTTGCTCTTGCTTCCCTAGTTCTTTTAATTGTGAGGTTAGGGTGTCATTTTAGATCTTTCCTGCTTTCTCTTGTGGGCATTTAGTGCTATAAATGTCCCTCTATACACTGCTTTACCTGTGTCCCAGAGATTCTGGTATGTGTGCCTTTGTTCTCATTGGTTTCAAAGAACATCTTTATTTCTGCCTTCATTTCGTTATGTACCCGGTAGTCATTCAGGAGCAGGTTGTTCAGTTTCCATGTAATTGAGAGTTTTGAGTGAGTTTCTTAATCCTGAGTTCTAGATTGATTGCACTGTGGTCTGAGAGACAGTTTGTTATAATTTCTGTTCTTTTACATTTGCTGAGGAGAGCTTTACTTCCAAGTATGTGGTCAATTTTGGAATAAGTGTGATGTGGTGCTGAGAAGAATATCTATTCTGTTGATTTGGGGTGGAGAATTCTGTAGATGTCTGTTAGGTATGCTTGGTGCAGAGCTGAGTTCAATTCCTGGATATCCTTGTTAACTTTCTGTCTCATTGATCTGTTTAATGTTGACAGTGGGGTGTTAAAGTCTCCCATTATTATTGTGTGGGAGTCTAAGTCTCTTTGTAGGTCTCTAAGGACTTGCTTTATGAATCTGGGTGCTCCTGTATTGGGTGCATATATTTTTAGGATAGTTAGCTCTTCTTGTTGAATTGATCCTTTACCATAATGTAATGGCCTTGTCTCTTTTGATCTTTGTTGGTTTAAAGTGTGTTTTATCAGAGACTAGGATTGCAACCCCTGACTTTTCTTTGTTTTCCATTTTCTTGGTAGATCTTCCTCCATCCCTTTATTTTGAGCCTATGTGTGTCTGTGCATGAGAGATGTGTTTCCTGAATACAGCACACTGATGGGTCTTGAATGTTTATCCAATTTGCCAGTCTGTGTGTTTTAATTGAAGTATTTAGCCCATTTACATTTAAAGTTATTATTGTTATGTGTGAATTTGATCCTGTCATTATGATGTTAGCTAGTAATTTTGCTCGTTAGTTGATGCATTTTCTTCCTAGTCTCAATGGTCTTTACAATTTGGCATGATTTTGCAGTCGCTGGTACTGGTTGTTCCTTTCCATGTTTAGTGCTTCCTTCAGGAGCTCTTTTAGGGCAGGCCTGGTGGTGACAAAATCTCTCAGCATTTGCTTGTCTGTAAAGGATTTTATTTCTCCTTCACTTATGAAGCTTAGTTTGGCTGGACATGAAATTCCGGGTTGAAAATTCTTTTCTTTAAGAATGTTGAATATTGGCCCCACTCTCTTCTGGCTTGTAGAGTTTCTGCTGAGAGATCAGCTGTTAGTCTGATGGGCTTCCCTTTGAGGGTAACCCGGCCTTTCTCTCTGGCTGCCCTTAACATTTTTTCCTTCATTTCAACTTTGATGAATCTGACAATTATGTGTCTTGGAGTTGCTCTTCTCGAGGAGTATCTTTGTGGCGTTCTCTGTATTTCCTGAATTTGAATGTTGGCCTGCCTTGCTAGGTTGGGGTTCTCCTGGATAATATCCTGCAGAGTGTTTTCCAACTTGGTTCCATTCTCCCTGTCACTTTCAGGTACACCAATCAGACGTAGATTTGGTCTTTTCACATAGTCCCATATTTCTTGGAGGCTTTGTTCATTTCTTTTTACTCTTTTTTCTCTAAACTTCTCTCCTTGCTTCATTTCATTCATTTGATCTTCAATCAGTGATACTGTTTCTTCCAGTTGATTGAATCGGCTACTGAAGCTTGTGCATTTGTCATGTAGTTCTCGTGCCATGTTTTTCAGCTCCATCAGGTCATTAAGGCCTCTCTACATTGGTTATTCTATTTAGCCATTCATCTAATCTTTTTTCAAGGGTTTTAGCTTCTTTGCAATGGGGTCAAACTTCCTCCTTTAGCTCGGAGAAATATGATCTTCTGAAGCCTTCCTCTCTCAACTTGTCAAAGTCTTATTCTACATTTAGCTTCGTTCCATTGCTGGCGAGGAGCTGCGTTCCTTTGGAGGGGGAGAGGCACTCTGATTTTTAGAATTTTCAGCTTTTCTGCTCTGTTTTTTCCCCATCTTTGTGGTTTTATCTACCTTTGGTCTTTGAAGATGGTGACGTACAGATGGGGTTATGGTATGGATGTCCTTTCTTTTTGTTAGTTTTCCTTCTAACAGTCAGGACCCTCAGCTGCAAGTCTGTTGGAGTTTGCTGGAGGTCCACTCCAGACCCTGTTTGCCTGGGTATTAGCAATGGAGGGTGCAGAACAGTGAATATTGCTGAACAGCAAATGCTGCTGCCTGATCATTTCTCTGGAAGCTTCGTCTCAGAGGGGTACCCTGCTGTGTTAGTTTGCAGTCTGCCCCTACTGGAGGCTGCCTCCCAGGTAGGCTACTCGGGGGTCAGGGACCCACTTGAGGGGGCAGTCTGTCCATTCTCAGATCTCAAACTCCGTGCTGGGAGAACCATTACTCACTTCAAAGCTGTCAGACAGGGACATTTAAGTCTGCAGAGGTTTCTGCTGCCTTTTGTTCAGCTATGCCCTGCCCCTAGAGGTGGAGTCTACAGAGGCAGACAGGCCTCCTTGAGATGAGGTGGGCTGCACCCAGTTCGAGCTCCCTGGCTACTTTGTTTACCTTCTCAAGCCTCAGCAATGGCGGGTGCCCCTCCTCCAGCCTCGCTGCTGCCTTGCAGATCTCAGACTGCTGTGCTAGCAATGAGCGAGGCTCTGTGGACGTGGGACCCTCCGAGCCGGGTGGGGGATATAATCTCCTGGTGTGCCATTTGCTAAGACCATTGGAAAAGCACAGTAGTAGGGTGGGAGTGACCCGATTTTCCAGGTGCCGTCTGTCACCCCTTCCCTTTGCTAGGAAAGGGAATTCCCTGACCCCTTGTGCTTCCCACATGAGGTGATGTCTCACCCTGCTTCGGTTCATGCTTGGTGTGCTGCACTCACTGTCCTGCCCCCACAGTCCAACAAGCCCCAGTGAGATGAACCCAGTACCTCTGTTGGAAATGCAGAAATCACCCGCCTTCTGCGTCGCTCACACTGGGGGCTGTAGACTGGAGCTATTCCTATTTGGCTATCTTGGAACCACCCTGAGAACTCCAATATTATTATTAATTATAGAAATAGAATAGCTAATGCTATCTATTAGCTTATAATTCTATTTATTACATTTTTGTTGTTGTTTCTAGGTATTTCATTTTCTTTATTAAATCTGATAATTCATTTTCTATTTTTCTGATTCTTGACATTTTTACATTTTTCTTGTATTATTTTTAATGGCAAGAATCATTATGTCATAATTTATGTTTGGACACTTCGATATCTGATGACTATCTTGGTCTTTTTTCCTAGTTCTCACTTACGGTGTGTCTTCTTTCCTTGCCAGCTGTTTTATTCATTTTTATTTACCGTCATTGTCCTTGAAAAATAATGGAAACCTGAGCTGCAAATTTGTGTAGAGTTAGCTCATCAATAAAATGTATCAGGAATATTTCCCAGGGTTCTTTCATCCCTTTGGTATTGATACTGCATTATCTTGACAGTGGGATCATAGGCTCTCATTCAGGTGAGAATGTGGGAGTGTCTTATTTTATATGCCTGCCTTCCTGAGCCTGGATTTTTTACCACTCGGTCTGTGAGTCTATCAGAACCAAAATGCTACAAGTTTGCAACATAAGCAAATGCTTAAGGGGCAAAATAGGCTTTGTATGTAAGTGCTACATTCACCTCTGGATTCCTGTGCTTCCCTGGAAGTTGGCCTAGCCACTTATCTCTGTCTTTTAACTTTTTCCAGAATGTAAAGCCAATTTCTTTAAAAGTTTTTTTTTTTTTTTAATTTTCATTTCCTCCAGGAATTAGGGTCAGAAATGCCTTGCTCCCAGTATTACCAGGAGTGCAGAATCTAAGCGGACTTTTTAATTTTTGTATTTTTAACATGTTAACCTAAAATCATCAAAAGGCTCAAGTTCCAGTTAAGAGTTTATTCAAGTTCAAAGTATGAGGGTAGCCAGCCAAGGAGCAAATCTGCACAAAAGAATGATCAGTGCTCCCTGCATTGGGAAAAATGAAGATTGTTTATACGGGCAAAACAGAGTTGCTAAAAAGAATTGCATTTTTCATACAAAGGATAACATACAGTTACAAGATTTGGTTGGCTACTATTGATTACACTCTAAAGGGTTGCCTGGCATTCTATTGTAAAGAGATAACAATCACAAGTTTCTCTATCTCAATGTCATTTAGTCTAGGTTTGAATAAAGAACAGGGAATTCAGTTAATGGATAACATCTCAACACAAAGGTTAGGGAGCTGTGATCATGCACCAGAGAAGAAAAACCACAGTGTTACATGAATCAGTTTCCAGGGCTTAACTTTTCCCCTTGGCATAATAAATTTGGAAGGTCCTGATATTTTGTTCTCTTTTTACAAACGTCAAAAACCTTTTCTAATTTGTGTTTTCTCTTTCTGTATAGCCTTATCTTATTATCAAATAGATGCTATGTTAGAAATCTCTGCCGACATTAATTAATATTTTTATTTGATTATCTTACTGGTTTTCTCTATTCCTTTTCTTTCCATGAGGCTGAAATGTGTTGCTCAGTCATCCTAGAACTTCCCTAACATCATTTTTTTTCAAGTTCCTGGAGAGTTAAATGGTCTTTTCATATTTTCCAATGAATAAATAAATTAGTCATTTTAAGTAATTGCCAAATTTTTACTCAGTGGCTGAGATCCTTTCTGCTATGGACATTTCCACAGGATGTAACTGCTGACTACAAGTAGTGAAACAGGGAAAGTTCCCTCACCCCCCTCGCAGGGTGTGTGATGGGGGTGTGGCTCGCTTCTTCAGTGCCCCACTGCTCAAACCTCTAGGGGAGCCTACAGATGGGCAGGCTGTGGGGCTCCAACCCCATGGCAGTGTCTAGGGGTGAATGTTTACAGCTGAAGCCCCAGTAAGCATATGTTACAGGGTGCTCTTTTAGTTTAGCCGTCCTTAGGCATCTTGTGTTAGTCAGCTCAATTAGACCACTGCCTTGTCACAAGGACAGAGGGCTTTCGGTATCTGGGGTGTATCATGAGAATCAGATCACACGTGGGCTTGGAGAATGAGTGCAAAGTTTTAATGTGTGGAAGTAGTTCTCAGCAGATGGGGTAGGAGAAGGGAGATGGTTTTTCCCTGGAGTTGGGCTCCTCAGCGGCCCAGGCTCTCCTCCAACTGCCCCGGCCAAACTCCACCTTGTTCCCCAGTTGATGGCCTGCCAGCATGCCAGCATCCATCGTGTGCTCTTCCACAGGAGTGCTCCCCTTGATGGCTCTCAACATCCAGCTGCTTGTGCCTTCTTCCATGTGTTTCTTTTGATGTCTAGCTGCTTGTGTGTCTGCCTGCTAGTGTCTTGGGGTTTTTATAGGCACAGGATGGGGGCATGGCAGGCCAGGATGGACTTGGGAAATGCAACAGTTGGGTGCAAAGGGAGGTGTGCCTGTTCTCATGTAGGTCTGTGGGCACAAGCCGGGAGTGGATCCCTGGGCCAGGGACCATGACCTTCCCTTCCCCACACTTCCCGTCCTCCTTGTCTATTATTTAAAGGGACCACACCCTTCCCTTCCCAGAACTTCCCTTCCATGCTTCTCTATCAGTAGGTGGCTGACAATCGCTAAAAGGCAGGTTGTCATTTAAGTTACATGATGAACAAGTAGCATCTAAGTAAGTGAGAAAGTCTTTAATCCTTCAGTCTAGAGGTCTGTTTCCCTCATGGATTTCCTGTATTCTCTTATGGAATTCTATTGATTCTACTCCGGAAACATTCTTATTCTTTCCCCTCTTCTACAGTCTCATTGCTGCCAAATGCTTTAGGTTCCTTTTATTTTTAACTTAAATTATTTCAACAGCTTTCTTAATATACCTTCTGGCTTCTAAGCCCTTATCTATAGAAGAAGAGTAAGAGTAATGGATACTTGGAAGAAATGGAAGGACAGACTTAATGATTCTATAACTATGAACCTTTCTAAATCTGTTGGCTCATTTTTAAAACAGGAGATAAGTTTTTTATATTAGTTATACAGACAAAGACTTGTTATTTACTAAAACTTCTTTGCAAATTAAATAATTTGGCCCTATTAGAGATAATCAAAATGTTGTGGACATCAATTTAAAAAAAAACCCTTTTTTATTTTTATTTTTTGTATGAGTTGACTTTTCCTATTAAGACCCTTTAACCATAGTGTGTAGTCACCACCTTGGTGACTTTAGGTTCTGTGTTTTTTGGGTCCGGAGATCTCATTCATTGTAAGGCATACCAGCAATTTAATGACAACTTCTCAGGAAATAAAAAAAGAAAACCATATCCTCACACTAACTATATACATAGATTGTAAGAAATATTTCAGAGCCAGAAACATTAAAATGAGAAATGTGTAAATACTAAAAAAGGAAATATTGTGGTTAGAGAAACAGTAGTCATAGTATTTCATATCAGCTGTAGGGAGGTAACAGAGTTCTCTATGGTGTTGATTTCTCCCATTTAGAAAAGCAAATTGAGGCTCAGTGGAGATCAGCAATTTGGCTAGGCTGTACAAATTGTGAAAACAGCAGAGAAATGTGTGTCACTGTGATTTGCACTTGCAGGCTCTTTTTGGTACACTGAACTGCCTTTGTAGGTCGAAAAGCTATCACTACTTAATCCCAATAGAGGCACTGAATACCATTCTCTTACTTTACCAAAAGACAATTTGGCTTACTTAAAAATGTAGTAAAACAAATATGTTCATCACCATAGTAATGATATCACTGTTCCTAGGAAGTAAAAAGAATTCCAGCTTACCTTTGTAAGCCCAAAATAACATTCTAAGGCACCCCAACCAGTGAATGGACTTCCTCCTCAGCCAGGGCACTCTTAAAATATAACCTCAAAGACTGGCTCAGGCCTTGATGTGGCAAGCCAGGTCTCACTAACTGTTGAACAGGCAGGCCTCCATGGCAACTCTTTCAGCACTGACTAACTGGTTAAGTTAAATATTAAAAGCTGATAGAGCCAGTGCCCTTCTACAAACGCTGGAATGTAACAAAAGCCCACCAAGAGTTTTGCCTAGGCCTTTCCTGGGCCTTGAAGCATGACAAGATAACAGAGAAAATCATAACAGGATCAGTTTAGGATTAAACAAGTTTTATTGGGGGTCTTGAGGAACTCTCCAGACCACCACAAACAAGTTTTATTGGGGTCTAAAGGAACTCCCCAACCTCCATGATTTAGCAGGAGACAAGATAAGGGTAATCACCCAGCTATCTGGATGCATCTAGATTGAGCAAATTTACTGAGGCTCCAGAGGAAGGTCTTCAGGACTCAGATCTTAGTTAGAGATCGGAAGAAGTTAATCACTTATGTCCTTAGATGAATGCACGCTTACATGTAGACATAAAACTTACAAGGTAGATAAGCGGTGGAAAACTTTGTAATTTTGAGTTGGTCTTGCAATATTTCCCCGGACTTCTCCCTGTACCCGGTTATAGAAGTAAACTCTCTTCTTTCCCATTTCATCTGCATCTCGTTATTGGGCCATGAGAATAAGCAGCCCAACCCTCGGTTCAGTCTGGGAACAATGACGGGAAATGGGGATCAGGCATCCTTGTTATTATCACTCTGGCATTAATATCAACACAGAACTTCAGTCTAATAAGAAGCATTTGCAATCTATTTTATCTGAAGCCTGCTACCTGAAGACTTCCTCTGCACAATAAGAACTTTGGGCTCCACAATCTTCTTAAGCCAGACGTTTCCTTTCTACAGATCCCAGGCCTTCAGACAAACTCAACCAATCATCAGCTAGAAAATTTAAAAATCTACCTATACCCTGGAATCACCCCCCACTTCAAGTTGTCCTGCCTTTCTGAACCAAACCAATGTATTTCTTAAGTGTATTTGATTGAAGTATCATGTCTCCCTAAACTGTATAAAACCAAGTTGCACCCCAACCACCTTGGGCACATTTTCTCAGGACCTGAGGGCTGTGTCACAGCCACGGTCAGTCATATTTGGCTCAGAATAAATCTCTTCAAATATTTTACAGGGTTTGACTCTTTTCATCGACATCATCACAGAGTAGTGACTAGCAAAGTCGGCTGGGGAGTAGATAGTCTTGGGTGCAATTCAGCCTCTGTTATTTAATAGCTTGGCATGTATTCCAGCCCTGTTAACTTCAACTTTCTCATCTTTGAGGCTGAAATAATAAATAAAACTATTATCTGTAATGAGATTTAGACAATGTGGGTAAATTTTTAAATGTCAGCTTATATCATACTAATGGAAAACCTTTTTCCAAGTCTTTAGCCTCATTGCCTTGTACACCTGTTTAACTGGCTCCTAAACAAATGTTTTCCCTTCTCTTTAGAAACAGAGTTTTATGTTGAACGTGTCCCCTTTCCTCTTCTTCCCCTTCTCCCTTCCTCTCTCTTTCCCCCCCCTTCCTTCCTTCCTTCCATCCTTCTTTCCTTCTTTTCCTTCTTTCTTTCTTCTTTCTTTCTTTCCCAGAAGGCAAGAAACAAGAAAGAAAATCTGAGAAATCCTAGCAGAGAAGGGATTTCATGTGGCAGATGCATACAATCTTCATCTCTAGTACCTTAAAGACAAAATAAAACCATGATGTCCAGCTAGCTGATTCAATTATTGAGAATTTAAATGTCTGCAGTGTTAATTAACACACAAAAATAGATTATTGAATGCTTAGATTCTCAGAGAAATAGTCCCTCTAAGTTAGACACATTTAGAAGGAGATGATACTCAGGAGTTTGGTATAATGTATACATAAAAATTTTAAAGATTTTTAGATCAAAGTTGGTTTCTAGGTGGTGCTCAAATAATGCTTAGAGTCCCTTCACAGGTTTTAATAAACCCTTCCCTAGTCAAGGCAGAGGCCACTCCTCTAGGACATAACCTTTCATCTACTCTTTTTTCTTCATTGATATGAAACTGCCTTTGCAAAATTAGTGAGAAAATCTAGCCAATTCTCATCATGCCTTTAGCCCTCCAACTGCCTTTGATTATTCCTGGGCTAGCACTGGGAGACATTTAGTTTACAGTTTAAATGATAATACCCAAAACTCAACTGCATTTGTAAAGCTAATGAGAAGCCACCAGGCTAGGAGAAGGAGAGAAGCCTGAACCCTGCTAAGGCACAGACATAAACAATTGTCAGGCATTATTCCAGAGGTTTTAAGACAGGCATCTGTCTTCTCCGGTTGCTACTGCAAATAACATCACTATTGTGGAACCTAAGATTTGCATTTTGAGATATCTTTGCAGGTTTTTTGCATGTCAGACACCTACTGCCTGACCAGGATCCACCAATGATGGTTCCACCTGTACCCACCTACTGTTCCTGTGGTTCCACCCAGAAGTGATTCAGCCTGCAGGAGGATCATTTCCAACACCCCTATGATTGCAACCCCCCCAACCAATCAGCAGCCAACCCCACCTCTTCCCGGAGACTACCTTTGAAAAACCTTAGCCCCTGAATTCTTGGAAAGACTGATTTGAGTAATGATAAAACTCCAGTCTCTCATTCTGCGGCTCTGCGTGAATTAAACTATTTCTCCATTGCAATCTCCCTGCCTTGACATATCAGCTCTATCTGGGCAGCAGGAAAGAAGAACCCATTGGGTGGTTACAGATATCCTTAGTTTTACCCTTAAATCCTTATTTAAAGAAGCTGGAAGTTTTTTTTTACAGTATCCAGTGTTACTCCCAAGAGTCTTTTATTTGTTTATTTATTTATTTTAAATGAATAGAGGGATTGGGTAGAGTAAAACTGGCCCTTGGGGGTTTAGAAGCCACATCATATGTATTTGATTTTGTACTTTATTTTAATAACTTAAATCAATAAGACACCTTGGAAAAATTGTTTAACTTTGCCAGATTTCAAGTTGTTCAGCTTTAAAACCGTATAGTTTACAAGGTGGTTTTTGAAGCCTTTTGTAGCATACCAAAGGAGGAACTCTAGAGATGGAGAGTTTCCCCACTCTTCAAATGTTTCTGAAGGTGTATGCTGGGCAGAGTATTTAGATATTTCATATGTTCTTCAGTGAGGAAGTAAAACCATGTACTAAGGTGATTCTTTGAACCTAGTTTTCTGAGGTACACAGATATATTAACTGAATCATGATTTTTTAATGGCAGTTTAAGGACATAAGTGATATGTGCCAAAATGTAAATCATGAATTTTTCACTGAGTAAAGTTATAAGAATAAAAGATTCTAAAAATCTATATAACATTTAAATGAACAAGGAACTGGAAAGGGCAAACTGCGCATTTATGAATGCTGATTTACGCTTCTAGTGAGCATAGTTAGGGTGAATTTTTGAAACAAATATAAATCATATGTAGCCTCTTCTAGTGCTCTGGGATTCCAGAAAGTGAATTGCTCACAAACAATCCATAAAAATAGTTTTTTCTTTTGGCTATGTAAAAAAAATGAGCATAATAATATCAAATATCCATATTTTACATATAAAGTTGACAGAATTAGTCTTTAAAATAACAATCCAATGATGTAGACAACTTATTGTAAAATAACTGGTGGGTGTTTGCAGATATTTAGTGTCTCACTTTAAATCAAACAGGCAGTAGGTGATAGAGGTCAGAAGCCATCACAGCTCTTCTGATTCCCAGACAAATGCTATTTCCATATGAAATGCTCCATTTGACCCTTGGGGACCACCCTTTTTTTTTTTTTCCACTTTAGGTCATCTTTTGTTATTTTTTTCTAAAGTTTCTTCTCACTGGTGCTCCAAAGTGTTTATTGCTTGGTCATAGACTAAAGTAGATGGTTACTGCTAGACAGTCCAGGGATCCTGACTTGGAGATAACTGTGCTAGTTATGTTTATGAAAGAAAAATGTTTTCGTAACACTTGTTAAAGATAGTAAGAAAGATTGTATTCCAAAGGAGATACTGCAATGGGGCTTTTGCAGTAGGGGGGACAGTTTGGGCCCAATTCCAAATATAATAAGGACAAGCAGGAATTTATAGATGAGAAGTAGGGTAGGGGTCAGTGGATGAAAAATTATTAAGGGGAAACATCAGGGGAGAGGGGAATTCTGGATAAACCAATCTGGCAGAATTCTTGCTGATTACAGGCCAGGTTGACAAAATATTGAGGGTAGAGAATGAGCAATTTGATCAGATATTGTGGGTAAGTATTTTCCCTAAACTAGGCCATCAGGATTCTTACTAAAACTGGAGCAACCAGGCCAAGGACAGAGTCAAGGTCAAGGCCTAGTTGAGAAGAGGTCTCAAAAGAGCCTGGCTCAGGTTTGGTCAAGGAGAGTATTTTTGTTGGTTTCTTTCATTCCATTGGTACAAAGAGAACCATCTGTTTCTTGCTGCACTCCTAATGTGGCTGTCTTTTATCATCTCCACGACTGAAAAGATGTGAAAGCCAACAGACAAATATACTAATCTCACTTTGAACAAACAATCTAAGATGTGCTGAGAAAAAAAGTCACTGCTTCTCTCAGTAGTTTGTGGAAACTTTCTTCCTTGGATAACTTTTTAGAGCTGTTCCAGGAATAGTGCAGCTACTATGGGCCACAAGAGCTGAAATATCCAGAAATTCCTGTGTTGCTGGTGAAGCTTCATCTGTTCACCTTCCATTTCATATTAGTTTTAAAGCATACCTGATGCTTGTGCAAGAAAAAAATCATTCTTTGTTTGCTTTTACTCACTTTTACCAAAGATTAAAGAGGGAGAAGAGGGGTCGGCTCTTCATATATTTCAAGTTGTAGGCATAAGATTGTGTTTCTAGTTCAACTGTATTTGGCTATAGATCCTAGTGAATTCTTGTTTTTTTTGTTTTGTTTTGTTTTACTCCACACTATATAATATTTTCATTGCTCACTCATGTCTGGAATAGGTTCTCTCTCTCTCTCCTGTGTTATCCAGGATGGCTCAAGCTATCACCAACTCTCCCTGAGAATCACAGCTGGATGGGAGTTACAGCTCATTAGGCCTAAGTAATGTACTTGCTTGAGTGAAACCCAAATTGTCTGGGATTAGGTGTGGGGACCCTTTGTGTGCTTCTCGAACTATTCTCACTGATGCTGAAATGTTGTCATTAGACAAAGTAAGATGCATCTTTACTTTGGTACTTTATTGTGAATTCACTTAACACTTACCTATTTACAGAGGTAAGGAAAGATTTCCTTTTACATTACTTCTTTCAAAATTGACCAATATTAAACTTCACCAAACATTCTAAAATTTTAACTTTTAATCCTGAAAGGTCTAGGAACTTTTGTGCTTTTGGGAAATCTGGTGGCAAGTCTTGTTGAGAACTGATAAACTTTTTCACTCTAGATTTAGTGTATATGCTATATACAGGTGCTGACTTCTTTATCTAGACTTATCTACCCACTGGGTGAGTAGACTCAAGTTCGATGTGGTAACACAGTTAAAAAACATGACAGTAGTTTGTTTGTTTGTTTGTTTGTTTATTTATTTATTTATTGTGGAGACAGACGTCTCACTTTGTTGCCCAGGCTGATTTTGAACTCCTGGCTTCAAGGGATCTTCCTGCCTTGGCCTCCCAAAGTGCTGGGATTACAGGCCAGAGCCACTGTACTTAGCCTATGACAGTAGTTTAAATGACAGACAATAGTAGCTTAGACCTGGAAGGTGCAGATGGAGATGAAGAGAGGTAGATTGGAGAGCTATTGAAAACTCCGGGAACAGAACACCAAATACTGCATGTTCTCACTTATAAGTGGGAGCTAAATGATAAAAACACATGGGCACATAGAGGGCAACAACATACAGTGTGTCCTATCAGAGGGTGGAGGGTGGGAGGAGGGAGAAGATCAGGAAAAATAACTAGTGGATACAAGGCTTAATACCTGGGTGATGAAATAATCTGTACAACAAACCCTCATGACACGTATTTACCTATGTAACAAACCTGCACATCCTGCACATGTACCCCTGAACTTCAAATAAAAGTTAAAAAAAGAAAGAAAAATCCAACTGTAAACCCATGCAAGTATACAAAGACCTTTCATTCTGATTGTGAAAATATTACATGTCCTTGATACCTTAATGAAGAACTTGGAAAAATGTTAGAAGTGAAAGACTAAGTTAGAAATTATAAAACCTTAACCCAAGTTATTGTTCAAAGCCATCAGATTTTAACATTCTCTTATGTCTATAGAGATTGGGTGGGTGGACACTACTGAAACACCAGGGGTTCCATCTAGGTCCTGCAGCTCTCTGCACAGAAAGCCAGTCATTGAGACAATGATTACTGCCAAGGGAAAAGGCTTTAATTAGGTGCTGCAGCAGAGGAGATGGGAGCTCAGTCTCAAATCCATCTGCCTGAGTAAAACTAGTGGTTTATATAGCTGGGAGGAAATGTAAAAGTGTGTAAGAAAACAGGAACTAGGGAGGGGCAAGGAGGCATCTGGTGCTGTGATCTGGTGAGTTTCAGTTCTTTGATACTTCTTTGAGAGGCCTGAAGGTCCTCTCCTGAGGAAAAAAAACTCAGATAAAACAAATCAAGTCTCAAGCTTTAACAACAGAAGGGTCAATTTCTATGTTTATCCCAAAACAACTGTCTATGCAACTATTGGGCAGGTTTCAGACAGACATTTGTGCTTGAATGTATGCTGAAAAGGCCAAAGACCCCCTTTCTCTTAATACTTTATTGGGAAGATGACATGTTAGGGGAAGCTACTTTGTGATGATGATTTAGGAATTGCCAGATTTTGGGAGAGTGGTTGTAAATTCTTGTGAGTTTTGCCTTCATATAAGCAAGTTCAAAGAAGTTGATGTAATGTGTCTTCCTTACACCTGTGTGTTTGTTTATATGTGTATGTCTGTGTGTTTTGAGAGCTACAGAGTTCAGTTAACATTTCATTTAGGCACTTCTATTACTAGTTTCTGAGGTCTCAGTTAATTTTGTAGCTATTTGGCAGGGGTTGGGGCTGAGCTGAACATGGTTACTGAGAGCTTTTCCTCTGACAGTGGAAATTTCTACAAGGAAAGAGAGCCATGGACCTTTACAACTTTAAAAGAAACCTGTTAATATTTCTTTTCCTCCCCAACTTTATACTCTTTCATGATTATAAAAGGTACCCATTCATATCTTGTAATATTACTTATTTGATGTCTGATTTGTCTCATATTCATTTAATATTTTTGGTTAGTGTTTAAATTTTTGTTTGTTCTTGTGCCATAATATTTAAAGTATGTCTTTTCTAGCACCTAGTTGTTGTTGTTTTGTTAATCCTTTCTGGTAATCTTCATGATTAGTTAGACTATACCACTTATTTTTAATGTAAATTACTGATATATCTGAGTTCAAGTAGAACTTGAACTACTTTGAGTTGAAGTTGACTACCTTGCTGTAAGTTTTTCTTGTCCCATCCATTCTTTGTTCATTTCTTCCTTTCTTTTATGTTAGTCAAGTATTTTAAAATTATTTTATTTTTTCCTTTAATAGCTTTAAAGTATTTTTAAAATCATGCTTATAAGAGTTATTCTAGAGACTGCAATATAATACTTTAATTTGTTACAGTCAACTTCAAATTATTACTATTATCAGTTTACAAGACTGGAAGAAACTTATAAAAGTTTAACTCCGTTTAGCCTCTCCCATCGTTTTTACCATTGTTTTAATGTGTTATTCATCTCAAATTTTATAACTCCCTCCAAATATTATTATTATTATTTTAAACAGGTAGAGATCATTTTGTATTTACATTTTTTATATTTTACATTTATACCTTTTTATTTTTATATTTACCTTCTTAAAAATTTTATCATGGAACTTGCTGAAGTTCCATGGTTTATTTTATTTTGTTATGAAAACTTCCTTTAGCAGTCTCATGGGACTCCTGCCCAAGACATATATAAGAATGTTGAACTTTTTTGGGTCTTTTTTTTTTTGTCTTTATTTTTTCTTATCATCTTTGTGGAGAAATATGATACTTATAACAAACTGTATCAATTTAAATTGCACAATTTAGTTGGTTTTGACAGTTATGTAAAACTACAAAACCATCATCACAACCAAGATATGGAATGTTTCTATCAAGCCCTGAACCATTTTTTATGCCCTTTGTAATGATCCCAAACTCTACCCTCACCCATAGGCAAGCACTGATCCACGTTTTGTCACTATAGATTAGTTTGCATTTCATGGAAATGGAATCCTACGATATATATATTTATCTGGTTTCCTTCACTAAGCATAAAAAATTCAGATTCAATTATGATGCTTCATGCATCAGTAGTAGTTTCTTGTTATTTCTAAGTAGCATTCTATCATATGGCTCTACCACATTTTATTTTTACATTTCCCGGTTGATGGACATTTGGGTAGTTCCTAATTTTTGGCTTTTATGAGTAAAACTGAACATTTTTTACAAGTCTTTGGGTTGACATATGTTTTCATTTCTCATATGTATTCATTAAATACATAGGAATGGAGTTGTTGAGTCATATGTTAGGTATATATTTAACTTTTTCAGAAATTGCCAAACCATTTGTAAAGTGTTTGTACAATTCTATGTAACTATCAGCCATGCATAAGAATTCTAGTTAGTTGGTCTGTAGCTTTACAAAAGTATAATTTTTTTTAATCTTTACAGATTTTCTTACTTATGTGGTGATACCTCATGGTGGTTTAAGTTTGCATTTTCTTACTGATTAATAATGATGAACATATTTATGTGTGCTATTTGGCTACATTTTTACATATTCTTTGTTCTTTTTAATGTTCTTGGGTACATAGTGTCTATATTTATGGGGTGCATGAGATGTTTTGATACAGGCATGCAATATGAAATAAGCACATCGTGAAGAATGGGGTATCCATCACCTCAAGCATTTATCCATTGTGTTGCAAACAATCCCATTACACTTTTTAAGTTAGTTTAAAATGTACAGTGAAGATATTATTGACTATAGTCACCTTGTTGTGCTATCAAATAGTAGGCCTTATTCATTCTTTCTAACTATATTTTGTACCCATTAACCATCCCTGTTTATATATATTATTTTGTGAAATCTTTGTTTAAATATTCATTTGAAAAATTATGTTCTTTATTCAATGTTTGTATTGTAAATCTGGAAAATATGCCTTACCTTTATGTTTTCTTTGGTGGAATTTGTTTTGTTTTTTTGTTGGCGTCTTTTGAAAAGTAGCCGTTGTTAATTTTGATAAAATCCATTTTATTATTATTTTCTCTTTATATTTAATGATTTCAATGTTCTAAATACAGGTTACAAATATCTTTGTGTTTTCTTACAAGAATTTTATCTTTTTAGCTTTTACATTTAGGTCATTAAATTTCAACTTAATTTTTCTCTGTGGTATTAAGTTATGTTGATGTTGTTTTGTGCTGTACAGATATCCAGTTGTTCCAGCACAATGTTTTTGAAATTTTGTTTTGTGTATTTCCCAGCTTTGTTTTTCTTTTTAAAATTGTTTTGAGTATTCTATATTTTACAGAATTCCCTATATATTTTAGAATCAGCTTGTTAGTGTTTGCAACAATACCTTCCATATTTTGATGGTGAATTGCGCAGTTTAGGTATTGAATGCCCTTTAATTTTTTCAAAGGTTTTATATGTGTTTATAAATATTTAAAAAGTTTATTTTCCAATTGTTTGCTACTTATTTATAAAATACTATTGATTTTTGTACATTAAGCATGCATGCTGTCACTTTACTAACTTCTCTTTTCAATTCTCATAGTGTTTTGCAGAGGCTGAGGATTTTCTGTGTAAAAATGATGTTCTGTGCAAGTAGAGACAGTTGTAATTCTTTGTGATCATTGTTGTGTTTATTTTACCTTTCTGGTTATATTGTATTGGATAGAGCTACTCTACTTTCTTTTAGCGATGTTTTGTATTTCTTAGTATTTAGCTATTGCATATATATTGTTAATTTTTTCTAAGTATTTTGTGTTAATATAATCGTTGTGGGTTACTGTAAATATTTTAACATGTTATTTTTCCATTGTTTGCAACCACTGTTCACTCTATTTTGTTCCATTAATCTATATGTCTATTCTTTTGCCAATATTGCATGGTCTTGATTACTACAGCTTTAAAATAAATATTGAAATCTGTACTGCAGATCCTCTAACTTTTTACTTTTCAGTATTGTGTTACTCATTCTAGGAACTTTGCCTTTCCAAATAAGCTTTAGAATAATTGTAAAGATATCTACAAAATAGCTTTCTGGCATTTTAACTGGGATTGTGTTGAATCTGAAGATCAAATTGGGAAGAATTCACATAAAAATATCGAGTCTTCCAATCCATGAACATAAAGTATCTCTCATTTATTTAGATCTCCTTTTATTTACCTCATCACAGTTTTGTAATTTTCAACATGTAAGTCTTATACATATAGTATTAGATTTATACCTCACTATTTCATTTTGCTGTGTTATAATGAATGAGATCATTTTTTCAATTTCAAATTCCAATTGTTCACTTGGAAAACAATAGGTGTTTGTATATTAATCCCATAATTTGTGACCTTGCTATACTCCGTAGTTACAGGAATTTTTTTTCTCAACTCTTTAAAAATTTCTATATAGACAATTGGGTCACCTATGAAGAAAATCAGTTGTATTTCTTCCCTTCAATCTTTGTATCTTTTACTTTACTTGTGTAGTTGCACTAGTTATGACTTCTAATAGGATGATAAATAGTCCTAGTGAAAGAGGACATCCTTAACTATTTCCAGTCTTAGAGAAAAAGCATTCATTTTCTCATCATTAAATATGATGGTAATTGTGGTTATTTTGTGAATGCCTTTTATTAACTTAAGAAATTTTGTGTCTATTCCTAGTTTGCTAAGAGTTTCTATTATGAATATGTGTTGTATTTCTGTGTTAATTGCGATATCATATTATTTTTCTTAGTCTGTTCATGTGGCAGATTACACTGATTGATACTGAATGTTAAACCACACTTAACGTGCCTGAAGGACATCCCATTTCGTCATCATGATTACTTATTTGTACTTTGCTTATTTGATTTGCTAATATTTTGTTGAGGTGAAAGGGGGCATGATTGTCTTGTTCCTGATCTTAGGGGAAATCTTCAGTTTTTTACCACTAAGTATGCTGTTAGCAGTGAGTTATTCATAAATGCCCTTTATCCTGTTGAGGAAGTTCTCTTCTAGTCCTAATTTTCTGAGATTTTTGTTTGTTTTTTATCTTGAAAGGTAATGGATTTTGCCAAATGTTTTCTCTGCATGAACTGAGATGATAATTTTTTTCTTCATTCTATTAATGTGATGTATTACATTGATTTTCTTATATTGAACTGACATTTCATTCCTGGGAAAAATTTCAGTTGGGCATATTGGTCATCCTTTATAATATGGTGTTGTAATAGATTTGCCAGTATTTTGTTGAAGAATTTTGCATTTCTATTCATAAGACATATTATTCTGTAATTTTCTTTTCATGTGATATCTTAATCTGGCTTGGTATCAGGGCAGTGTTGGCTATATAGAATAAGGTAAATGTTCCCACCTATAATACTTGTTAGAAGAGCTTGAGAATAATTAATATTAATTATTTAAATGTTTGGTAGAATTCACCAGTTGAAGCCTTCTGGCCCTGGATGTTTTGTGTGGGGAGAAGTTTTATTTTATTTATTTTATTTTTTTTTTGAGACAGAGTCTCGCTCTGTCACCCGGGCTGGAGTGCAGTGGTGCAATCTTGGCTCACTGCAAGCTCTGCCTCCTGGGTTCACACCATTCTCCTGCCTCAGCCTCCCGAGTAGCTGGGACTACAGGCGCCTGCCACAACGCCCGGCTAATTTTTCTATTTTTTAGTAAAGACAGGGTTTCACCGTGTTAGCCAGGATGGTCTTGATCTCCTGACTTCGTGATCCGCCCACCTCGGCCTCCCAAAGTGCTGGGATTACAGGCGTGAGCCACCGTGCCCAGCGGGAGAAGTTTTATTACTGATTCAATATCTTTACGTGTTATAGGACTGTTCAGACTTTCCATTTTTGTGTGTGTCAGTTTTGGTAATCCATATGTTTCCAAAAATTTTTCTTTCTTATCTAAGTTATGTAATTTCTTGACATGGTATTTTGATATGTTGTATTTTCATTTTCATTAATCTATATGTTATTTTCTAATTTATTGTGTGATTTCTACATATTTTCTATTATCTCTTGTTATAGTTGCTTCAATTTTAATTCCCACTTATTTGTGAATTTTCCAGTTTTTCTTCTGTTATTGATTTCTAGCTTTACACAATTGTATCCAAAGAAGATATTTTGCATGATTTCAATCTTTTTAATGTGAAATAAGCACATCATGAAGAATGGGGTATTCATCACCTCAAGCATGTATCCATTGTGTTGCAGATAATCCAATTACACTTTTTAAGTTAATTTAAAATGTACAGTTAAGATATTACTGACTATAGTCACCCTGTTGTCCTATCAAATAGTAGGTCTTATTCATTCTTTCTATTTTTTGTACCCATTAACAATCGGCATTTATATATATTATTTTGTGAAATTTCTGGTTTGATTAATGCCCTCAGGGAAAAATCCATGGTAAATACCTGTGTCAAAAATCATAAGCCTACTTTGGTTGAATACAGCATCTGTAAAGAGTTGCTTTTTATATTTTGTCAACCTGTTATAGTTGTTTATGACAGTAATGTAATTCTGATAATAGTTATCTTGTTATGACCAGAACAAAACATTACCCTGAAATTGTATTCCAATATAAAATTTTTAATGAGCATTTCATCTTGTTGACGTGTCTTTCTATATTTTGGTTGCTTCAAACTTTTAAATATTTTAAATAATTATCTGTGTAAATGGACTTATATGTCTATAATATTTATTAAAATAACATTTGTGTTATCAAAGCCCATACATATTTTTAGATTTGTATGTATTTTGCAACATTGTTATTCTGTTGTTTATTTTTTAATTATTTTTTATTGTGATAAAAAACATATAAAATTGACCATGCAATTCATGTGTAAGCATGCGATTTAGTAATGTTAGGTATAATATTTGTATAGTGGTGCAACCAATTTCCACAATTTTTAATCTTAAAGATGAAATTGAAATTCTATACTCATTAAACAACTAATAATTTTCCCTTCCCATAAGCCTCTGGCAATCACTATTCTACTTTCTGTTTCTATGAATCTAAGTACTTCGTATAAGTGGAACCATTTGTTTTTGTCTTTTTGTGATTGGCTTACTTTACTTAGTATAATGTCCTAAGACTTCCACCATGTTATAATATGTCAGAATTCCCTTCCTTTTAAAGATTGAATATTATTCTATTTTACATATAGACCACATTTTGTTTATCCATTCATCCACTGATGGACACTTGGGTGCCTTCTGCTTATTGGCTATTGTGGATAACGCTGCTATGAGCATGGGTGTGCAAACATCTTGTGAGATTGTTCTTTAACTTCTTTTGGATATATATCCAGAAGTGGAATTGCTGGTCATGTGGTAGTTCCATTTTTAATTTCTCGATAAACAAACATACTGTTTTTCATGGCTGCTGTACCATTTTAAATTCCCAACAACAGTGCACAAATGATCCAATTTCTCCACATCCTTGACAACACTTGTTATTTTCAGCTTTTTTTCTTTGCTAATAGCCTTTTTACTGGATGTGAGGTGATACCTTGTGGCTTTGATTTGAATTTCCCTAAAGATTAGTGATACTGAGCATCTTCTCATATGCTTGTCTTGTTTTCTTTTTGCAAACCAATCCATTTTTCTATATGTGTGCTTCTTTTCCTTTACACTTATCAATGCTGGTGATTGTCCTTATAATTACCACTGTTCTTATCATAATTTGTATTGACTTAGTTAATATGACGCAATGTATTTTACTATAAAAATGACTTCTCTTTACTGGTAAGGTTGAACAAAATTATGTTTTTCATCATTTTAGAATCATTTGGCTTTGTATATACTTGCAGTTTTTCTTTTGATTAACCATTTTTTGTTAATGTTGAATTTTCCATTTATATTTATCAAGTACTTATTTGCCATTTCCAAAAGTTTTAGTTTATTTATATAGAGATATTTTCAGGGTCTAAACTGTATGGATCTATTGTTTTATAAGAGCTTGATTTCTTTAACATTTTCCTTATTTTTTTGTTTTTATTCCCAAAATAGATAAATTTTCACCAAAATATTACTTTACTCTGAAAAGGTTACCCATATATTTTTCTCTTTTTTGTTGTTTTATAACCCTTATAAAGATATGCCCAGTCATCAAACAGACAAACTTTCACCAAAACATGACTTCACTGTTCAGGGGTCACACATGCTTTTCTTAAAAATCATTCATATTTCTGTGTTTTTTCTTATGCTTTGCTTACGTTTATTTTCCAATTTTATATAATATACAGTCATTACTTAAATTTTCAATGAGTGATGATATAGTAATTTTAATATATACATTTTGCAATGAAAACTATTGTCTCAATAGAAAAATAAACATTCACAAAAGTAACAATAAAATAGAAAAAATTACACAATAGTTTGACTCTTCAAAAGCATAAATTAAAATAAAAACATACCTATATCTCATAGATTAAAAAATTTGAAAGAATGTTAATATCATATGTTGTGTTGATTGTATACCAGAAGTGTTAAATGCAGATTAACTTGGTAAATTCTTTTGGGTTAAAATATAACAACATGCATAAAGGTTTTTAAAATATGAAAACTCTTTGGAAAATCAATTATGATTTTAGAAATTTTCTGTGTAAACGTAAAAATGGATTTTTAAATAATGTATTTACAAATACATTAAATACAGATTTTATTACATAGTATTTTAAGACTGGAAACAACATTGATGTCAAAAATTTGAGAAATTCAGCACTTTATGATGTATTGATACGATGAGTTATGTAGTATTGATAATAACAATGCCTATTTTGAATCCACCTGGAAAGCACTTTTGTTACTTTCTTTACAAAGAAAATATATGTACAAAATATTTGTACAGTGAAATTCCACATATGTGTGTATGCATCTGGAAGTATGTATGTATAAATATGAATAATCCTTGTTTCAGAGTGGTGGCATTTTAGATGATTTTATTTCATTTTTTATATTGGTTTTATTTTCTAACTTTTATAGTAATCATACCTTAAATCCTTTTATTTTATTTATTTATTTTAATTTTTTTGAGACGGAGTCCTACTCTGTCCCCAGGCTGGAGTGCGGTGGCACGATCTCACGTCATTGCAACCCCTGCCTCCTGAGTTCAAGCAATTCTCCTGTCTCTGCCTCCCAAGTAGCTGGGATTACAGGCGTATGTCACCATACTTGGCTAATTATCTATTTTTATTTTTATTTTTTTATTTTTTATTTTTAATTTTTTTTTATTTTTTATTATACTTTAAGTTTTAGGGTACATGTGCACATTGTGCAGGTTAGTTACATATGTATACATGTGCCATGCTGGCGCGCTGCACCCACTAACTCGTCATCTAGCATTAGGTATATCTCCAAATGCTATCCCTCCCCCCTCCCCCCACCCCACCACAGTCCCCAGAGTGTGATATTCCCCTTCCTGTGTCCATGTGATCTCATTGTTCAATTCCCACCTATGAGTGAGAATATGCGGTGTTTGGTTTTTTGTTCTTGCGATAGTTTACTGAGAATGATGGTTTCCAATTTCATCCATGTCCCTACAAAGGACACGAACTCATCATTTTTTATGGCTGCATAGTATTCCATGGTGTATATGTGCCACATTTTCTTAATCCAGTCTATCATTGTTGGACATTTGGGTTGGTTCCAAGTCTTTGTTATTGTGAATAATGCCGCAATAAACATACGTGTGCATGTATCTTTATAGCAGCATGATTTATTGTCATTTGGGTATATACCCAGTAATGGGATGGCTGGGTCAAATGGTATTTCTAGTTCTAGATCCCTGAGGAATCACCACACTGACTTCCACAATGGTTGAACTAGTTTACGGTCCCACCAACAGTGTAAAAGTGTTCCTATTTCTCCACATCCTCTCCAGCACCTGTTGTTTCCTGACTTTTTAATGATTGCCGTTCTAACTGGTGTGAGATGATATCTCATAGTGGTTTTGATTTGCATTTCTCTGATGGCCAGTGATGATGAGCATTTTTTCATGTGTTTTTTGGCTGCATAAATGTCTTCTTTTGAGAAGTGTCTGCTCATGTCCTTTGCCCACTTTTTGATGGGGTTGTTTGTTTTTTTCTTGTAAATTTGTTTGAGTTCATTGTAGATTCTGGATATTAGCCCTTTGTCAGATGAGTAGGTTGCGAAAATTTTCTCCCATGTTGTAGGTTGCCTGTTCACTCTGATGGTAGTTTCTTTTGCTGTGCAGAAGCTCTTTAGTTTAATTAGATCCCATTTGTCAATTTTGGCTTTTGTTGCCATTGCTTTTGGTGTTTTGGACATGAAGTCCTTGCCCACGCCTATGTCCTGAATGGTAATGCCTAGGTTTTCTTCTAGGGTTTTTATGGTTTTAGGTCTAATGTTTAAATCTTTAATCCATCTTGAATTGATTTTTGTATAAGGCGTAAGGAAGGGATCCAGTTTCAGCTTTCTACATATGGCTAGCCAGTTTTCCCAGCACCATTTATTAAATAGGGAATCCTTTCCCCATTGCTTGTTTTTCTCAGGTTTGTCAAAGATCAGATAGTTGTAGATATGCGGCATTATTTCTGAGGGCTCTGTTCTGTTCCATTGATCTATATCTCTGTTTTGGTACCAGTACCATGCTGTTTTGGTTACTGTAGCCTTGTAGTATAGTTTGAAGTCAGGTAGTGTGATGCCTCCAGCTTTGTTCTTTTGGCTTAGGATTGACTTGGCGATGCGGGCTCTTTTTTGGTTCCATATGAACTTTAAAGTAGTTTTTTCCAATTCTGTGAAGAAAGTCATTGGTAGCTTGATGGGGATGGCATTGAATCTGTAAATTACCTTGGGCAGTATGGCCATTTTCACGATATTGATTCTTCCTACCCATGAGCACGGAATGTTCTTCCATTTGTTTGTGTCCTCTTTTATTTCCTTGAGCAGTGGTTTGTAGTTCTCCTTGAAGAGGTCCTTCACATCCCTTGTAAGTTGGATTCCTAGGTATTTTATTCTCTTTGAAGCAATTGTGAATGGGAGTTCACTCATGATTTGGCTCTCTGTTTGTCTGTTGTTGTTGTATAAGAATGCTTGTGATTTTTGTACATTGATTTTGTATCCTGAGACTTTGCTGAAGTTGCTTATCAGCTTAAGGAGATTTTGGGCTGAGACGATGGGGTTTTCTAGATAAACAATCATGTCGTCTGCAAACAGGGACAATTTGACTTCCTCTTTTCCTAATTGAATACCCTTTATTTCCTTCTCCTGCCTGATTGCCCTGGCCAGAACTTCCAACACTATGTTGAATAGGAGCGGTGAGAGAGGGCATCCCTGTCTTGTGCCAGTTTTCAAAGGGAATGCTTCCAGTTTTTGCCCATTCAGTATGATATTGGCTGTGGGTTTGTCATAAATAGCTCTTATTATTTTGAAATACGTCCCATCAATACCTAATTTATTGAGAGTTTTTAGCATGAAGGGTTGTTGAATTTTGTCAAAGGCTTTTTCTGCATCTATTGAGATAATCATGTGGTTTTTGTCTTTGGCTCTGTTTATATGCTGGATTAACATTTATTGATTTGCGTATATTGAACCAGCCTTGCATCCCAGGGATGAAGCCCACTTGATCATGGTGGATAAGCTTTTTGATGTGCTGCTGGATTCGGTTTGCCAGTATTTTATTGAGGATTTTGCATCAATGTTCATCAAGGATATTGGTCTAAAATTCTCTTTTTTGGTTGTGTCTCTGCCCGGCTTTGGTATCAGAATGATGCTGGCCTCATAAAATGAGTTAGGGAGGATTCCCTCTTTTTCTATTGATTGGAATAGTTTCAGAAGGAATGGTACCAGTTCCTCCTTGTACCTCTGGTAGAATTCGGCTGTGAATCCATCTGGTCCTGGACTCTTTTTGGTTGGTAAACTATTGATTATTGCCACAATTTCAGATCCTGTTATTGGTCTATTCAGAGATTCAACTTCTTCCTGGTTTAGTCTTGGGAGAGTGTATGTGTCGAGGAATGTATCCATTTCTTCTAGATTTTCTAGTTTATTTGCGTAGAGGTGTTTGTAGTATTCTCTGATGGTAGTTTGTATTTCTGTGGGATCAGTGGTGATATCCCCTTTATCATTTTTTATTGTGTCTATTTGATTCTTCTCTCTTTTTTTCTTTATTAGTCTTGCTAACGGTCTATCAATTTTGTTGATCCTTTCAAAAAACCAGCTCCTGGATTCATTGATTTTTTGAAGGGTCTTTTGTGTCTCTATTTCCTTCAGTTCTGCTCTGATTTTAGTTATTTCTTGCCTTCTGCTAGCTTTTGAACGTGTTTGCTCTTGCTTTTCTAGTTCTTTTAATTGTGATGTTAGGGTGTCAATTTTGGATCTTTCCTGCTTTCTCTTGTAGGCATTTAGTGCTATAAATTTCCCTCTACACACTGCTTTGAATGCGTCCCAGAGATTCTGGTATGTGGTGTCTTTGTTCTCGTTGGTTTCAAAGAACATCTTTATTTCTGCCTTCATTTCGTTATGTACCCAGTAGTCATTCAGGAGCAGGTTGTTCAGTTTCCATGTAGTTGAGCGGCTTTGAGTGAGATTCTTAATCCTGAGTTCTAGTTTGATTGCACTGTGGTCTGAGAGATAGTTTGTTATAATTTCTGTTCTTTTACATTTGCTGAGGAGAGCTTTACTTCCAAGTATGTGGTCAATTTTGGAATAGGTGTGGTGTGGTGCTGAAAAAAATGTATATTCTGTTGATTTGGGGTGGAGAGTTCTGTAGATGTCTATTAGGTCCACTTGGTGCAGAGCTGAGTTCAATTCCTGGGTATCCTTGTTGACTTTCTGTCTCATTAATCTGTCTAATGTTGACAGTGGGGTGTTAAAGTCTCCCATTATTAATGTGTGGGAGTCTAAGTCTCTTTGTAGGTCACTCAGGACTTGCTTTATGAATCTGGGTGCTCCTGTATTGGGTGCATAAATATTTAGGATAGTTAGCTCCTCTTGTTGAATTGATCCCTTTACCATTATGTAATGGCCTTCTTTGTCTCTTTTGATCTTTGTTGGTTTAAAGTCTGTTTTATCGAGACTAGGATTGCAACCCCTGCCTTTTTTTGTTTTCCATTTGCTTGGTAGATCTTCCTCCATCCTTTTATTTTGAGCCTATGTGTGTCTCTGCACGTGAGATGTGTTTCCTGAATACAGCACACTGATGGGACTTGACTCTTTATCCAACTTGCCAGTCTGTGTCTTTTAATTGCAGAATTTAGTCCATTTATATTTAAAGTTAATATTGTTATGTGTGAATTTGATCCTGTCATTATGATGTTAGCTGGTGATTTTGCTCATTAGTTGATGCAGTTTCTTCCTAGTCTTGATGGTCTTTACATTTTGGCATGATTTTGCAGCGGCTGGTACCGGTTGTTCCTTTCCATGTTTAGCGCTTCCTTCAGGAGCTCTTTTAGGGCAGGCCTGGTGGTGACAAAATCTCTCAGCATTTGCTTGTCTATAAAGTATTTTATTTCTCCTTCACTTATGAAGCTTAGTTTGGCTGGATATGAAATTCTGGGTTGAAAATTCTTTTCTTTAAGAATGTTGAATATTGGCCCCCACTCTCTTCTGGCTTGTAGGGTTTCTGCCGAGAGATCCGCTGTTAGTCTGATGGGCTTTCCTTTGAGGGTAACCCGACCTTTCTCTCTGGCTGTCCTTAACATTTTTTCCTTCATTTCAACTTTGGTGAATCTGACAATTATGTGTCTTAGAGTTGCTCTCCTCGAGGAGTATCTTTGTGGCGTTCTCTGTATTTCCTGAATCTGAACGTTGGCCTGCCTTGCTAGATTGGGGAAGTTCTCCTGGATAATATCCTGCAGAGTGTTTTCCAACATGGTTCCATTCTCCACATCACTTTCAGGTACACCAATCAGACGTAGATTTGGTCTTTTCACATAGTCCCATATTTCTTGGAGGCTTTGCTCATTTCTTTTTATTCTTTTTTCTCTAAACTTCCCTTCTCGCTTCATTTCATTCATTTCATCTTCCATTGCTGATACCCTTTCTTCCAGTTGATCGCATCAGCTCCTGAGGCTTCTGCATTCTTCACGTAGTTCTCGAGCCTTGGTTTTCAGCTCCATCAGCTACTTTAAGCACTTCTCTGTATTGGTTATTCTAGTTATACATTCTTCTAAATTTTTTTCAAAGTTTTCAACTTCTTTGCCTTTGGTTTGAATGTCCTCCTGTAGCTCAGAGTAATTTGATTGTCTGAAGCCTTCTTCTCTCAGCTCGTCAAAATCATTCTCCATCCAGCTTTGTTCCGTTGCTGGTGAGGAACTGCGTTCCTTTGGAGGAGGAGAGGTGCTCTGCATTTTAGAGTTTCCAGTTTTTCTGTTCTGTTTTTTCCCCATCTTTGTGGTTTTATCTACTTTTGGTCTTTGATGATGGTGATGTACAGATGGGTTTTCGGTGTAGATGTCCTTTCTGTTTGTTAGTTTTCCTCCTAACAGACAGGACCCTCAGCTGCAGGTCTGTTGGAATACCCTGCCTTGTGAGATGTCAGTGTGCCCCTGCTGGGGGGTGCCTCCCAGTTAGGCTGCTCGGGGGTCAGGGGTCAGGGACCCACTTGAGGAGGCAGTTTGCCCGTTCTCAGATCTCCAGCTGCGTGCTGGGAGAACCACTGCTCTCTTCAAAGCTGTCAGACAGGGACACTTAAGTCTGCAGAGGTTACTGCTGTCTTTTTGTTTGTCTGTGCCCTGCCCCCAGAGGTGGAGCCTACAGAGGCAGGCAGGCCTCCTTGAGCTGTGGTGGGCTCCACCCAGTTTGAGCTTCCCGGCTGCTTTGTTTACCTAATCAAGCCTAGGCAATGGCGGGTGCCCGTCCCCCAGCCTCGATGCCGCCTTGCAGTTTGATCTCAGACTGCTGTGCTAGCAATCAGCGAGATTCCGTGGGCGTAGGACCCTCTGAGCCAGGTGTGGGATATAGTCTCGTGGTGCGCCGTTTTTTAAGCCGGTCTGAAAAGCACAATATTCGGGTGGGAGTGACCCGATTTTCCAGGTGCGTCCGTCACCCCTTTCTTTGACTCGGAAAGGGAACTCCCAGACCCCTTGAGCTTCCCAGGTGAGGCAATGCCTCGCCCTGCTTCGGCTCGCGCACAGTGCACGCACACACTGGCCTGCGCCCACTGTCTGGCACTCCCTAGTGAGATGAACCCGGTACCTCAGATGGAAATGCAGAAATCACCCGTCTTCTGCGTCGCTCACGCTGGGAGCTGTAGACCGGAGCTGTTCCTATTCGGCCATCTTGGCTCCTCCCCCCCTAATTTTCTATTTTTATATAGTAGAGACGGGGTTTCACCATGTTGGCCAGGCTGGTCTTGAACTCCTGACCTCAGGTGATCCACCCGCCTCTGCCTCTCAAAATGCTGGGATTACAGGCGTGAACCACCACGCCCGGCCTAAATCCTTTTATTTTATAAGTTATTAAATAATTTAAAGTAACTGACAATTCCAATTACCTAGCCATATGTGTGTGAAAGAAAGACAGGAAGAGAGTGTGACAGAGGAGGGTTTTCTATGTAAATTTGACTCCTCATCTGGTTGATTTTTTTTCTATTTCAATATGCCTTCCTTTCCATACCTGATGTGAATATTTTCATCAGTGCCAATGACTTTTGCTGATGAAAACTTACAGGTTACTTCAGATAACTTCTTGTGTTATGAAAGGGGAATTTTCTTCACTGTGGCAGCCATGAAGATATGTAGTCAGCAGCCTTAAACCAAAGTCGCAATAACAAGGAAGCAAGTCATTACTGCACATTTTCACACCCTGACCATAAAATACCATTGGAAAGTCTTAGTCATTTCTCTGCAAATGCAAACCCTTCATTTATCATTGCTCCATAGAAATGATGTTAAGAAGTTAGCACATTCGTTGTTTTATATCCCCTATTTTTTATGATCATTTTTCCTTTCACTACAGAAAAAATTGTTATATGAGCTACTGAAATGCTACTTTGTTTTCTTATCTTCCCGTTTCTCAGCTTTACTGTGTCCATACACTCTTCATTCATCTTTATTAGATCCGAAAAAGGCTGAAAAAACCTGTCTAGTGTGAACGTTCTTGTCAATTATTTAAGGTGGGAAAGAGCTCTCTAAGATGGGAAAGCCTATAGAATTGTTCTGGTTTCTTTTTCTTATGTACAGGGTCAATATTTGCTCTCCGACCTAACAATTTGAAACTTAGATTTTCTTGAAAACTCCATAAATCATGGCACACAAGCTTTCACCCTGATGCATGAGTGGAAGCCGGAGGGAAATGAGACTTCCTCTAACGGTTAATGAGGTATGAATGGTGGTCTGCTTGGATTAGAATGCAATGACACGTTTTCAAAGTTGGCCTTACAATTTGGCTGATTTTAGCAGATCCAAATAGAACCCACTCACTGTAATTTCCTACTCTCAGATCTCTTCTCAAACTTAATAATAAATGTTGTTTTTAAAGTTTTATTCTTTTGGGTTTAGCACTCAATCTTTTTCAGGTTCAGCACTCACGTGCCTTATCCAGAGAGGGGAAGATGCCCACGCCTCATCAGTGGAGCTTCCTAGGCAGGTGTGAGGGCATCTTGGAGCCAAGGTAAGGAGAGTTTATTGCCAGAAAAACTGAGAAGTGTCATGCAAAGAGGAAGCATGCAAGCCAAGAACCACTAAGTGATGCACATGGATAAAGAGCCAGGAGACTGTTATTAAGTAGAGAGTGAGATTAGAAGATCGAAATAGATGAGAGACTGGATAAGCAACGTGAGACTCTCAGCCAGACAATCAAAGAATTCAAATATGAACACCACATACAATCCATTTAATTCCATATTTTTGCTGGAATCCTAGTATTCTTTTATTAAAAATTTCTCCCATTACATTTTGTTAAAATTACCTGTAAAATATGTATGTAAAATGTAATGATGAAAGTTGCTAATAACCCTTTTATATTAATGTATTTTCCGTTGATACTTTTTTTCATGTAGTTGTAAAAACATTTTGAGTTTATACTGTATATGTGATTTTGTAGCTGGTCATGCAACCATTATTTAATAACCTTTTCATAAATGTTTTAACTGGCTATATAAAAGTGTATAACATGGATGTGCTTTGTTTTTAACAGTTCCCATGCACTTGAGATACTTTTTGTTTTTTTTCTGCAATAAGCAATACTACCACAGAGATTTGTGTATGTACTTAGTAAATATTACTGAATTATTTTCCTAAATATTGTAACACATTACAGTCTTAAAAACAGAATATTTTATTGGACCAGTGTTTTTGAATTTCGGTGATCATATGAGTCACATGGGGATCTTGTTAAAATTCAGATTCTGATTCACTTAGATCTTGGATGTGGCCTGAGATTCTGAAATTATAACAAGTTACCAGGTGATGCCAATGCCACTAGCTCAAGGACCACAATTTCAGGTGCAAGATAATAGACTACATGTTCAATACATCAACATCCAGCATATTTTCATTTTTGAATAGTAGTTATTTTGGTAGTTGAGAAGGAGTAATCACAGAATCTTAATTGCCATATTTTTATTGCTAGTGAAACTAATCAGTTTTGCAAATTCTTACATTTTCTCTTTTATTATTGGTCTGTTCATTCTCTTTGCCTTTGCTTAATCAGGACCTCTGACTGAGAAAGAATCATTTTGTATGTTTTAATAAGTTTTATAATGTACTTGTCATTGGGCAATTTTATTTTATCCTCAATGTCATAAAATAATAGATGAATAAGTTTAATGCTAAGGAATTCTATTTATAATTTTACTTTATAAATTCTGAAAATATATTTTCAAAATATATAATGTACAAAAAACATCAAATATATAAAAGACTCTTAAAATCAATAAAAATCCAATGGGAAAACAAAATAAAATAAATGAGCTATTATCTCAAAAATAAAAAAAAATGGAAATGCTTTCCATATTACAATTATAAAAATGCAAATCAAGATCTGAATAAAATTTAGTTTTAAAAAATAAAGTTGGCAGGGCGCAGTGGCTCATGCCTGTATTCCCAGCGCTTTGGGAGGCCTAGGCGGGTGGATTACCTGAGGTCAGGAGTTCAAGACCAGCCTGGGCAAGATGGTGAAACCCCATCTCTACTAAAAATACAAAAAAAATTAGCCAGGCATGACGGCAGATACCTGTAATCCCAGCTACTCAGGAGCCCGAGGAAGGAGAATCACTTGAGCCTGGGAGGCAGAGGTTGCGGTGAGCTGAGATCACGCCACTGCACTCCTGCCTGGGCCACAGGGCGAGACTCTGTCTCAAAAAAAAAGAATAAAGTTTCAAAATAAAACCTGAGAGTGCCAGTTATTAGAAGCATCATGGATTAGCAGGATCCCTTTATACATTGTTGATGGGAGTTTAAATTAGTAAAATTGCTTTGGAAACCAATCTAGCAGTCACTCATAATGCTGAAATTTCATTTATCATACACTATAGCAATTTCACTTTGTGTATAAATCCATTAAAATCTCATATAAATAACAAGTGACATTTAAAAGAATGCTAATAATAGCAAAAATCCTGTAAACCACACATATTATAATATATTCATAGAAAAGAGAAAGGATACCAAAATAGTATTATGGAATATTCTTACAATGGAATACACAAAGATACAAAAAGAATTACAGCTATATAAAATAACATGGGTAAAACATAGTAATATATTGGCCAGGTATGGTGGTTCATACCTGTAATCCCAGTGCTTTCAGAGGCCAAGGTGGGAGGAAATGCTTGGGGCCAGGAATTTGAGACCAGCTTGGGCAACATAGCAAGACCCTCTCTCTACAAAAATTTAAAACTTAGGCATGGTGGAAAATGCCTATAGTCCCAGCTACTCAGGAAGCTGACGTTGGAAGGTCGCTTAAACTCAGGTGTTCGAGGCTGCAGTGAGCTATGATCATGCTACTGCACTCCAGCCTGAGCAACAGAGTGAGACCCTGACTCAAAAAAGTTTTTTAAAGGAATATAATATCTTGCCTAAGGAGAAGTCCTACAAAATTACATATCTTTTATATGCAATTTTCAGATGAGAAAATCCAAAGAATTTATTGTTTTGACATATGTGTTTACATGAAGAACAAAAATTTTAAAAAGAAAACATACACCACTGAGTATAGTTATTAATTCTGAGCAAGGAGATAAAAGATGGGATAACAAAATAACGGTGCATAGAAATAATTTTTTGGTGCTCTTCTTGTTCATTAACTGGGGGATCTAGTGTGTATTTTATTTTTGAATGTCAGGTCAGAATCTGGTTTTTTATTAGAGAACCTGGATTAACAGGTGTATTAGTCAGGGTTCTCTGGAGGGACAGAGTATATATCCTAATAAATGTATTTACAACTAATAGGATATATATATGATACACAGATCATATATATGATAACATACATATATATGTGTATATATGTTTATACACATGTATTACATATATATAATATATCTTGGAAACACAGAAGCTGGTACCATGGCCCCGTATAAATCTGAAAGCCTCAAAACCAGGGAGCTGATGGTGCAGCCCTCAGTCTGAGGCTGAAGGCCCAAGAGTCCCTGGGAGGACACTGATGCAAGTCCCAGAGTTCAAAGGCTGAAGAACTTGGAGTCTGACATTCAAGGGTAGGAGTAGTAAAAGCAAAGTGTCTGGCATGTCATGAGAAAAAAGACAGTGCGAGAAGACTCAGCAAGCAAGCTGTCTGTGTTCTGGGGTCTGGAGAGCGGTGGACTACTTTCCAATGCTCCAGTAGGCAATGCCCTGGTGGAGACTCTGTGTGGGGGCTCCAACCTCACATTTCACTTCACACTGCCTTAGTAGAATTTCTCAGCAAGGGCTTTGCCCCTGCGGCTGGTTTCTGACTGGGCACAAAGGCTTTCTGAAATCTAGGAGAAATTTTTCAAGCCTCCTTCACATTTGCATTCTTTGCACCTGCAGGCTTCACACCATAGGGAAGCCACCAACGATTACAGCTTACACCCTCTGGAGCAGTGGCCTGAACTGTGTCTGAGGCTCTGTGAGTTGAGACTGGAGCCTGAGTGGCCTGGATGCAAGAAACAGCCTCCCAGGATGACACAGAGCACTGGTACCCTGGGCCTGGCCCACAAAACCATTCTTTCCTCCAAAGTCTCTGGACCTGTGATGACAGGGACAACCTGGAAGATTTCTGAAATGCCTTTGAAGCTTGTTCCCATTGTCTTGGATATTAGCTCTTGGCTCCCATTTAGTCATGTTAATCTCTCAGCAATTCACTTGTATTCCTCTTCTGAAAATTATTTTTCCTTCTCTGCCACATGGCTAGGCTATGAATTTTCCAAATTTTATGCTCTGCTTCCCTTTTAATTATAATTTTCTATTTTGCATCATTTCTTTGCTCTCATATAAGACCATATGCTGTTTGAAGAACCCAACCCACCTCTCGAACTCTTTGTGCTTAGAAATTTCTTCCACTAGATATCCTAGGTCACCACTTCAGTTCAAAATTCCATGGATCCCAAGGACATAAACACAATACAGCTGCCAAGTTCTTTGCTAGGGCATAACATGGGTGACATTTACTCTAGTCCGCAATAACTTTCTCGTTTCCATCTGACATCTCATCAGCCTGGACTTCACTGTCCATATCTCTATCAGCATCTTGGTCACAATCATTTAACCAGTCTCTAAGAAGTGCCAAGCTTTCCCTCATCTGTCTATCTTCTTCTGAGTACTCCAAACTCTTCCAACCTCTGCCTGTTACCTAATTCCAAAGCTTATTCCACATCTTCCGATACCCTTGTAGCAATGCCCAACTTCTCGGTACCTATTTTCTTGTTAGCCTATTTGCATCACTATAAAGGAGTACCTGAGGCTGAGTAATTTATAAAGAAAAATAAGTTTAATTGGCTCATGATTCTGCAGGGTGCGCAAGCATAGTTCTTACATCTCTTGGCTTCTGGTGAAGCCTTAGAAAGCTTTTACTCATGGCAGAAGGCAAAGCAGGAGCAACACACCATGTGGCAAGAACAGGGCAAGGCAGTAGGGAGGTGCAATTCTCTTTTCAACAACCAGATCTTAGGTGAACTCAGAGAACTTGCTTGTTACCAAGTGCATGGTGCTAAGCTATCCATAAGCGCTCTGTCCCCAGTATACAATCACCTCCCGCCAGACCCCACTTCTAACACTGGAAATTACAGTGCAAAATGAGATTTGGAAGGTGCAGACATCCAAACCATGTCACCAAGTGTTTAAAAAAATGTACTGGGCTGGAGAAGTGATAAGGGAGAAAAAGATTAGATCTCCAATAAAATGTAAAACATATAAGCTAATATGTTAGCCTAAGAAAGATAGCCAAAACATTAAGAAATTAACAGCCAACTGATGAATTTCACTTCAGAATAAATTAAAGTAGAATAAAAACCTGAAAAATACTTTGAAATAAATTTGCTTTGTGCTTAAAATTTTCAGAAAGATAAATGAGAACAAACTCATTCACTGCATTACTTTAAATTATGTTGTGCTGTATTAATTCTGTGAATTATAATTTTTCTTTGATTTTTTACAACGTGAATTTTTAAACAATTTCTACGTGCATTTGAAAAGACATTCCATTTTTACAGAACATACTAGTTATGAGTGTGTGTGTTCACGCATATTGCATATATATCAAAACTACTTATTTATTCTATCATTTGAGACCTCTATTGTTTCAGTTATTCTAATTTATCTCTCAAACTCTGAAAGTGGAGAATAAAAGTATAAAATAATCAATAAACATCCATTAAGGACCTTTATAAAGGATTGCAACATTTTCAATACAAAATGACTCAAATGCTTTTCTATTTTTTATTTTTTCTTTATTTTTTCTATTAAAAAAAACAGGATAACAGCAGAACGTGCAGGTTTGTTACGTAGTTATATGTGTGCCATGGTGGTTTGCTGCAACTATTGACTCATCCTCTAAGTTCCCTCTGCTCAGCCCCCACCCCACAACAGGCCCTGGTGTGTGTTGTTCTCCTTTCTGTGTCCATGTGATCTCAATGTTCAACTGCCACTTATGAGAGAGAACATGTGATGTTTGGTTTTCTATTCCTGTGTTAGTTTGCTGAGTATGATGGCTTCCAGCTTCAGCCCTGTCCATGCAAAGAACATGATTTCTTTCCTTTTTATTGCTGCATAGTATTCCCTGGTGTATAAGTAACACTTTTTTTAATCCAGTTTGTCATTGATGGGCATTTGCATTGGTTGCATATCTTTGCTATTGTAAATAGTGCTGCAATAAACATCGTGTGCATGTATCTTTATAGTAGAATGATTTATATTCTTTCGGCTATATACCCAGTAATGGGATTGCTGGGTCAAATGGTTATTTCTGGTTCTAGATCCTTGAGGAATTGCCATACTCTCTCACACAATGGTTGAACTAATTTACATTCCCACCAACAGTGAAAAAGCATTCCTATTTCTCCACAGCCTCACCAGCATATAAAGTTTCCCGACTTTTTAATAATCACCATTCTAACTTGTGTGAGATGGTACCTCATTGTGGTTTTCATTTGCATTTCTCTGATGATCAGTGATATTGAGCCTTTTTTCACGTATGTTTGTTGGCCACGTAAATGTCTTCTTTTGAGTAGTGACTTTTCATATCCTTTGCTCACTTTTTGATGGAGTTGTTTGTTTTTTTTCTTGCAAATATGTTTAAGTTCCTTGTAAATTCGGAATATTAGACATTTGTCAGCTGGACAGATTGCAAAAATTTCCCCCATTCTGTAGGTTGCCTGTTCATGCTGATGATAGTTCCATTGCTATGCAGAAGCTCTTTAGTTTAATTAGATCCCATTTGTCAATTTTGGGTTTTGTTGCAATTGCTTTTGGCATTTTCGTCATGAAGTCTTTGCCCATGCCTATGTCCTGAATGATATTGCCTAGGTTTTCTTCTAGGGTTTTTATGGTTTGAGGTTTTACATTTAAGTCTTTAATCCATTTTGAGTTAATTTTTGTATAAGCTGTAAGGAAGGGGTCCAGTTTGTTTTCTGCATTCAGCTGGCCAGTTTTTCCAGCAACATTTCCTGAATAGAGATCCTTTCCCCATCACTTGCTTTTGTCAGGTTTGTCGAAGATCAGATGGTTGTAGATGTGTGGTGTTATTTCCGAGGTCTCTGTTCTGTTCCATTGGTCTATATGTCTGATTTGGTACCATTACCATGCTGTTTTGGTTACTGTAGCATTATAGAATAGTTTGAAGTCAAGTAGCATGATTCCTCCAGCTTTGTTCTTTTTGCTTAGGATTGTCTTGGCTATATGAGGTCTTCTTTGATTCCATAAGAGATTTAAAATAATTTTTTCTAATTCTGTGGAGAATGTCAATGGTAGTTTGATGGGAATAACATTGAATCTATAGATTACTTTGGGCAGTATGGCCAGTTTCACTATATGGATTCTTCCTATCCATGAGGATGGAATTATTTTCCATTTGTTTCTGTTCTCTCTTATTTCCTTGAGCAGTGGTTTGTAGTTCTCTTGAAGAGGTCCTTCACATCCCTTGTTAGCTGGATTCCTAGGTATTTTATTCTCTTTGTAGCAATCCTGAATGGGAGTTCACTTATAATTTGACTCTCTGCTTGCCTATTGTTAGTGTAAAGGAGTGATTGTGATTTCTGTACATTGATTTTGTATCCTGAGACTTTGCTGAAGTTGCTTATCAGTTCAAGAAACTTTTGGGCTGAGATGATGGGCTTTTCTAAATATAAAATCATGTCATCTGCAAACAGAGACAACTTGACTTCCGCTCTTAATATGCAAATACACTTTATTTCTTTCTCTTGCCTGATTGCCCTGGGCAGAACTTTCAATAATATGTTGAATAGAAGCCTTGAGAGAGGGCATCCTTGTCTTGTACTGGTTTTCAAAGGGAATGCTTCCAGCTTTTGCCCATTCAATATGATATTGGCTTTGGATTTGTCATAAGTAGCTTATTATTTTGAGATATGTTCCATCAATACCTAGTTTCTTGAGAGTTTTTAACATAAAAAGATGTTGCATTTTTTCAAAGGCCTTTTCTGCATCTATGAGATAATCCTGTGGTTTTTGTCTTTGGTTCTGTTATGTGATTTGGTTCTTTTTATGTCTTTGTTTCCGTTTGAGTTGATTTGCGCATGTTGAACCAGCTTTGCATCCCAAGGATGAAGCCGAGTGGACCTTGGTGGATAAATTTTTTGATGTGCTCCTGGATTTGGTTTGCTAGTATTTTCTTGAGGATTTTCATTTTGATGTTCATCAGGGATACTGACCTGAAGTTTTCTTTTTTTGTTGCGTCTCTTCCCGGTTTTGGTATCAAGATGATGCTGGCTTCATAAAATGAGTTAGGGAAAATTCCCTCTTTTTCATTTTTTAAAAATAGTTTCAGAAAGAATGGTACCAGCTCATCTTTGTATTTCTGGTAGAAATCAACTATGAATCCATCTCCAGAGTTTTTTTTAGGTTGGTAGGCTATTAATTACTGCCTCAATTTTAGACCTTGTTACTATTGGTCTATTCAGTGATTTGACTTCTTCCTGGTTTAGTCTTGGGAGGGTATATGCATCTAGGAATTTATACATTTTTTTTTTTTAGATTTTCTAGTTTATTTGTGTAGAGGTGTTTATAATATTCTCTCATGGTAATTTGTATTTCTGTGGGGTCAGTGGAGATATCCCCTTTCTTGTTTTTTATCATGACTATTTGATTCTTCACTCTTGTCTTCCTTATTAGTCTAGCTAGCGGTCTGTCTATTTTGTTAATTTTTTCAAAAAACGTGTACCTGGGTTTGTTGATTTTTTGGAGGGGTTTTTGTGTCTCTATCTCCTTCAATTCTTCTCTGATCTAAGTTATTTCTTGTCTTCTTACCTCTCTAGCTCTTTTAATCGTAATGTTAGAGTGTCAATTTGAGATCTTTCTAGCTTTCTCATGTGGGCATTTTACTGCTATAAATTTCCCTCTTAACACTGCTTTAGCTGTGTCCCAGAGATTTTGGTAGGTTGTCTCTTTGTTCTCATTGGTTTAAAAAAATTCTTGATTTCTGCTTTAATTTCATTATTTACCAAGGAGTCATTCAGGAGCAGGTTGTTCAGTTTCCATGAAATTGTGTGGTTTTGAATGAGTTTATAAATCCTGAGTTCTAATTTGATTGCACTGCCTTCTGAGAGACTGTTTGTTATGATTTCAGTTCTTTTGAATTTGCTGAGGATTGCTTTACCTCCAGTTACGTGGTTGATTTTAGAATAAGTGCCATGTGGCAGTGAGAAGAATGTGTATTTTGTTGATTTGGGGTGGAGAGTTCTGTAGATGTCTACTAGGTCTGCTTGATCAAGAGCTGGGTTAAAGTCCTGAATCTCTTTGTTAATTTTCTGTCCCTTTGATCTGTCTAATACTGACAGCAGAGTGTTAAAGTCTGCTACTATTTTGTGTGGGAGTCTAAGTCTCTTTGTAGGTCTCTAAGAACTTGTTGTGTGAATCTAGGTGCTCCTGTATTGGATGCATGCATATTTGGAAAGTTAGCTCTTCTTGCTGAATTGTTCTTTTTACCATTATGTAATGACCTTCTTTGTCTTTTTTTGAGTTTTGTTGGCTTAAAGCCTGTTTTTTCAGAGACTATGATTGCAACCCTGCTTTTTTTTTTTCTTTCTTTCCATTTGCTTGGTAAACTTTCCTCCATCCCTTTATTTTGAGCCTGTGTGTGTCTTTGCATGTAAGTTGGGTCTCCTGTAAACAGCACACTTACAGGTCTTGAGTCCTTATCCAATTTGCCAGTCTGTGTCTTTTAATGGGGCATTTAGTTCATTTACATTTAAGGTTAGTATTGTTATGTGTGAATTTGATCCTGTCGTCATGCTGCTATTTGGTTATTTTGCACACTAGTTGATGTGATTTCTTCATAGTGTCATTTGTCTTTATATTTTGGCATGTTTTGTAGTGGCTGGTACCAGTTTTTCCTTTCTATATTTAGTGCTCTTTCAGGAGCTCTTGCAGGGCAGGCCTGGTTGTAATGGAATTCCTCATCCTTTGCTTATCTGGAAAGAATTTGGTTTCTCCTTCGCTTATGAAACTTAGTTTGGCTGTATATGAAATTCTGAGTTGAAAATTCTTTTATTTAATAATGTTGGATATTTGCCCCCAATCTCTTCTGACTTGTAGAGTTTCTGCTGAGAGGTCCACTGTTAGTCTGATGGGCTTCCTTTTGTAGGTGACCTGGCCTTTCTCTCTGGCTGCTCTTTACAGTGTTTCTTTTATTTTGACCTTGGAGAATCTGATGATTATGTGTCTTGGGGTTGGTCATCTCATGGAGTATCTTAATGTTCTCTGTATTTCCTGAATTTGCATGTTGGCCTGTCTTGCTAGGTTGGGGAAGTCCTCCTGGATAATATCTTTAAGTGTGTTTTCCAGCTTGTTTCCATTCTCCCCATCTCCTTCTGGTACTCCAATTAATTGTAGGTTCTTTCTTTTTATGCAGTCTCATACTTCCTGGAGGTTTTGTTCATTCCTTTTCATTCTTTTTTCTCTATTCTTGCCTGCAAGTCTTATTTCAGTAAGGTGGTCTTCAAACTCTAACATCCATTTTCCTGCTTAGTTGATTTGGCTGTTGATACTTTGTATGCTTCATGAAGTTCTCATGCTGTGGTTTTCAGCTCCATCAGGTCGTTTACGTTCCTTTCTTAACTGGTTGTTCCAGTTAGCAATTCCTCTAGCCTTTTATCAAGGTTCTTAGCTTCTTTGCATTGGGTTAGAACATGCTCCTTTAGCTCATTGTAGTTTTTTATTACCCATCTTCTGGAGCCTACTTCTGTCAGTTTGTCCATTTGATTCTCCGTCCAGTTCTGTGTCCTTGATGGAGAGATGTTGCAATCATTTGGAGGAGAAGGGGCACTCTGGAATTTTGGGTTTCAGCATTTTTTCATTGATTCTTTCTCGTTTTCGTGAGTTTGTCTAGTTTTGGTCTTTGAGGCTGCTGACCCTTGGATAGGGTTCTTGTGGGTGCTCTTTTGTTGTTGTTTTATTTGATGCTGTTGTTGTCGCTTTCTGCTTGTTTGTTCTTCTTTCGACGGTCAGGTCCCTCTTCTGTATGGCTGCTGCAGTTTTCTGGGGGTTCACTTCAAGTCCTATTCCTTCCTGTTCCAAGAGATATCACTCAAGGAGGCTGGAGAGCAGCAAAGCTGGATACCTGCTCCTTCTTCTGGGACCTCTGATATTGAGGAGCACCAAACTGATAGTAGTAGGATCACTCCTGTATAGGGTATCTGACAACCCCTGTTGGAGCATCTCACCCAATTGGGTGGCATGGGAAGCATGACCCGTTCAGTGAAGTACTTTGTCCCTTCGTGGAGAGGGTGTGTTTCACTAGGGGGAACCCTCTTGTCTGGGCTGCCCAGATTTCTCAGAACTACCAGGAGGAGAGGCTAGGTTTGCTGGTCCGCAGGCACTGCAGCCACATCTCCTGCTAGGGGCTCAGGCCCAGGGAGATCTGAATTTTGTCCCTGAGCCTCTGGCTGTTGTTATTGGAGATCCTACGGGGAAGCCCCATGCACTGAGGAAGGATAGATCAGGGTTCGGCCTGAAAAGGACTCTGGCTGCAGACTGCCACAGCTGTTATGTTGGGCTGTGGGAACAAGTCTTGGGACCCAGCCATCCAGCCTTCCTGGCTCCAGCAGAGGAAGACTGCAGCCTGGAGCTATAGAAATGGGTGCTGCCCTTCCCCGGTTCAAGCGTGTTTGGCAGTTGCAAGTCCCAGGGCTAGCTGCTGCCCCTCTCCCAAGGTCAAATAGCTTAGAAGCAGGCAGCTGCAGCTGGTGCTGGTGGCTCCTCCCCCTGGGAGTTCAGTAGCCTTAAGCAAATTCCAGCTGAGAGGCTGTAAGAATCTGCTTGTTCCAGGTTTGAGATGCTATGCCCTGGTGGCCTGGGTTCTCTAGTGGGATCTCCCAATCCATGGGTTGCACAGCTCTGTGGAAAAAGCACATTTTCCCCAGCTGAGTAGTGTGCTCACTCACTGCCTCCTTGCCTGGGGGTGGTGGGGAGTGTTCCCCTTCTCTGTGTGGCTTGCAGGTGGGCTAGAGCACCACACTGCTCTTCCTTCTCCCCATGGGTTATGTCAGCCTGTCAGCCAGTTTGATGAGAGAACGTGGATACCTTGGTTGCCGATGAAGGATTCACATGGTTATTATGCTTTTTTTCCGTGGGAGCCTCTGATCACGGCTGCTTTTAGTCGGCCATCCTGGGTTCACCCTATGGCTCAAATGCTTTTTTTAACTTGATTTTTATATCATAACTTTTCCTTACTTTTTGTTTGCAAATACATGCTCTGTCTTTGTTCATTGAATTCTTTTATAACATTCATGAGTTATTTTGTTTCAGATATGCTTGGTATATTTTAGCAGGATCTGAGTGTTGTTTTCTTTCACAAGTTTTACTTTTTATTATGAAGAAAATATGTTTGATCTTATTTTTATCATTTTAATTTGTTTGTTTTGTTATGTTTAGGTACATTTTTTTCTCCGTTTAGGTACATTTTTTCACCTATATTTTGTGATGTCACTTGAGTTTCCTTATTTTTTTTTGTATGTAGGTTTTTCTTCTAAGTATTTAAAGTTTATATTCCCTCTTTTCTTTGTTTACAGCTATATACTTCACATACACATAAACAACTATAAACTGAATGCTTGATCCCTGACCAAATTCACATATTGAAATCCTAACCTTGAATATGATACTATTAGGAATTAGGGCCTCTGGAAAGTAATTAGGTTATAAGGGCAGAGCCCTTATAAATGGGTTTAATGCTGTTATAAAGGAGTCTCCAATGAGCTCCCCTACCCCTTTCACCATGTGAGAAATCAGCAAGAAGATAAAATTCTATGAAATATAATAGAAAGTAGACAGTGACCAGATACCAAGTATGCCGTCACATTGTTCTTGAACTTCTTGGTCTCCAGAACTGTGTAAAATAAATGTTTGTTCTTTATCAGCCATTCAACCTATGGTAGTTTGTTATAACAGCCTGAACAAAGACAGACACAAGCACGTACACATGAGCATGCACATGCACGTGCGCACACACACACACACACACACACAGACCCTAACTTCCATTTCTTTATTTATTAACTTTAGACAGTGTAAGTTTATTCCCAATTAAAAACATGAAATCTTTATTCTTAATCTTTCAATATCCTCCCTCCCTAAATGCTCATCTTGTCTTGTTATAGTCTACAGTCATACATTTATTTCTGCTCGTTTTCATTACAATCGTTTGAAATAAACTGTTTGCTTCCTAATTTACTACATTTAGATTATATTATATTGAATTATTATAATGAAAGAAGAGAACTGTGTACTCACACTTTCTTTAAATCTCTTACCCTTTTAAAATTATATTTATATTTTATATTTTATCAAGGATTATTAATTTAATATCCTTGACTTTTCTATCCTTACTTTGAAACTTCAATTCATATGGTTCTCACTAATACTTTGTTGTTCTTTTTGATTGTTTTTAATGACAGCAATTTTTAAAATACTTGGTTTCAAAATTTGTCTTTCTTGGCTTTTTTTTGGTAAATCTATTGAGATAGTCATATATTTTTTGCTTCTTTAATGTTTTATATGTTGAATTATATTGATTGATTACTGCATGTTTAACCAAAGCCTTTATTATTGGCCTGGGAAAAACAATTTGGTTAGTGTGTATTACAAGTTTTATATGTTAAGGCTACAATTAGTTAATACTTTATAACACGTTTTTGATTTATGTCAATGAAGAATTTTTCTGTGGTCCATTCCCCACTCAGTTTTGGGATCTGGGAACTGCTTAACTCATATGTTGGAAAATGTAGTAGACAGAATGATGGCCTTCTCAAAGGTACTCAAAGATGTCCTAATCACTAGGGTCCATGAATATGTTACCTCTCATGGCAAAAATCACTTTGCAGATGTGATTAATTAAGAATCTTGAGATACAAAGATTATCCCAGATTATCGGGGGAGGGAGGCAATGTAATAATATGTTTCCTTTAAGAGAGAGGCAGGAGGGTTAGAATTGGAGCTGTTATAAAAGACTCTTGAAGGCAGCAGAAGAGAAAGGATGCTTCATCTGTAGCAGAAAAACAATTTAAATGATAATGGATTTCTCATTTGAAACCTCAGATACCAGAGGAGGTAGCACAACACTTTTTAAGAGCTGAAAGAAAAGAACGTCAACCCAGAATTCTATGTTTCAGAAAGAGAAAATCAACACATTCTCAGATGAAAGACAGCTAAGATAATTCGTTGACAGCTAACCTACCCCAAAAGAAAGCTAAGGGAAGTTCACTAAATACAAAGGAAATGATGAAAAAAGGCACTTTAGAACAACAGTAAGAAAAAAAAGTAGATGGTAAACAAAAATTCGGGCATGTGTAAAAGACTTTTTTTCTCTTGGGATATATACATATCCCATATATATATATACACATATATACACACACACACACACACACACACACACACACATATATATATCTCTCTGGCCCATATATATATATATAATATATATATATCCCATATATATATATATAATATATATATCTCCCATATATATATATATAATATATATATATCCCATATATATATTATATATATATATCCCATATATATATATAAAATATATATATATCCCATATATATATAAAATATATATATATCCCATATATATATATAATATATATATATCCCATATATATATATAATATATATATATCCCATATATATATAATATATATATATCCCATATATATATAATATATATATATCCCATATATATATAATATATATATCCCATATATATATATCCCATATATATATCCCATATATATATATCCCATATATATATATCCCATATATATATATCCCATATATATATATCCCATATATATATATCCCATATATATATATCCCATATATATATATCCCACATATATATATCCCATATATATATATCCCATGTATATATATATCCCATATATATATCCCATATATATATCCCATATATATCCCACATATATATATCCCATATATATCCCATATATATATTTATATCCCATATGTATATATCCCATATATATTTATATCCCATATATATCCCATATATATATTTATATCACATATATATATCCCATATATATATTTATATCCCATATATATATCCCATATGTATATACACACACACACACACACACACACACACACACACAGACACACATACATAATTTCAATTGGCTTTTGGGGAACAGGTGGCGTTCTGTTACGTGAATAAGTTCTTTAGTGGTGATTTTTGAGATTTTGGTGCAACTGTCACCCTAGCAGTGTACACTGTACTCAATGTGTCGTCTTTCATCCCTCACCCCATCTCTCATCCTTTACCCCGAGTTCCCAGAGTCCATTGTATCATTCTTATGCCTTTGTGTCCTCATAACTTAGTTCTCACTGAGTGAAACCATATGATATTTGGGTTACCATTCTTGAGTTACTTCACTTAGAATAATGTTCTTCAGTTCCATCCACATTGCTCCAAGTGTCATTATTTTGTTCTTTATATGGCTGAGTAGTATTCCATGATATATATACATACCACATTTTCTTTATCCACCTGTTGATTGATGGGCATTTGGGCTGGTTCCATATTTTTGCAATTGCGAATTGTGCTGCTATAAACATGCATGTACAAGTATCTTTTTTGTATAATAACTTCTTTTCAACTCTGGATAGATACAAAGTAGTGAGATTGCTGGATCAAATGATAGATCTACTTTTAGTTCTTTAAGGATCGCCACATTGTTTTCCATAGTGGTTGTACTAGTTTACATTCCCACCAGCAGTGTAAAAGCATTCCCTTTTCACCACATCCATGCCAACATCTTTTATTTTTGATTTTTTGATTATGGCAATTCTTGGAGGAATAAGGTGGTATTGCATTGTGGTTTTGATTTTCATTTCCCTGATTATTAGTGATGTTGAGCATTTTTTCACATTTGTTGGCCATTTGAATATCTTCTTTTGAGAATTGTCTATTCATGTCATTAGCCCACTTTTTAATGGAATTGTTTTTTTTTTTCTTGCTGATTTGTTTGAGTGCCTTGTAGATTCTGGATATTAGTCTTTTGTTGGATGTATAGATTATGATTTCCTCCCACTCTGTGAGTTGTCTGTTTACACTGCTGGTTATTTCTTTTGCTATGCAGAAACTTTTTAGTTTAATTAAGTCCCATGTATTTATATTTGTTTATGTTGCTTTTGCTTTTGGATGCTTGCTCAGGAAGTCTTTGGGTAAGCCAAAGTCTAGAAGGGTTTTCCAATGTTATCGTCTAGAATTTTTATGGTTTCATGTCTTAGATTTAAGTCTTTGATCAACCTTGAGTTGATTTTTGTATAAAGTGAGAGATGAGGATCCAGCTTCATTCTTCACATGTGACTTGGCAATTATCCCAGCACCATTTGTTGAATAAAGACACTTTATGTCTTTGTTTGCTTTGTTGAAGATGAGTTGGCTAAAGTATTTGGCTTTATTTCTGAGTTTTCTATTCTACTCCATTGGTTTATATGCCTATTTTTATACCAGTACCATGCTGTTTTGGTGATTATGACCTTATGGTATGGTTTAAAGTCAGGTAATGTGATGCCTCCAGATTTGTTCTTTTTGCTTAATCTTGCTTTGGCTATGTGGGCTCTTTTTTGGTTCCATATGAATATTAGGATTGTTTTTTCTAGTTTTGTGAAGAATGATGATGGCATTCTGATGGGAATTTCATTGAATTTGTAGATTGATTTTGGCAGTATGGTATTTTCACTATATTGATTCTACCCATACATGAGCATAGGGTTGTGTTTCCGTTTGTTTCTGTTGTCTATAATTTCTTTCAGCAGTGTTTTGTAGTTTGCCTTGTAGAGGTCTTTCGCCTCCTCGGTTAAGTAGATACCTGAGTATTTTAAATTTTTTGCAGCTATTGTGAAAGGGGTTTAGTTCTCCATTTGATTCTCAGCCTGGTTGCTGGTGGTGTACAGCAGGGCTACTGATTTGTGTACATTAATTTTGCATCCTGAAACTACTGAATTTATTTACCATTTCTAGGAGCTGTTTGGATGAGTCTTTAGGATTTTCTAGGTATATGATTATGTACTCAGCAAACAGCGACAGTTTGACTTCCTTTTTATGATTTTGATGACCTTTCTTTATTATAATATAATGATGGATTATCTTTTTAATATGCTGCTAGATTTGTTTGGCTAGTATTTTGTGGAGGATTTTTGCATCTATGTTCATCAGGTATATTGGTCTGTAGTTTTCTTCATTATGTCCTTTCCAGGTTTTGGTATTAGGGTGATACTGGCTTGATATAATGATTTAGGGGGTTTTCCCTCTTTTTCTATCTTTTGGAATAGTGTCACTAGGTATTAAAGAAATTACACTTAAGACCACAATGAGCTATCACCATACACATCAGAATGGCCAAACTAAAAACTAGTGACATCAAGTGCTGGTAAAGAAACTGGATAACTCATGCATTGCTGGTAGGAATATAAAACAGCTTAGTCACTCTGCAGAAGAGTTTAGCAGCTTCTTACAAAAAAATAAGCATACATTTACTATATGACCCAGCAGTTTTACTCCTGGTCACTTATTTTAGGAAATGGAAAACTTGTCTTTATACAAAAACTTGTACATCAATGTTTACAGAAGCCTTACTCATAAAGGTCAAAAATTGGAAACAACCCAGCTGTCCTTCAATGGGTGAATGTTTAAGCAAACTGTAGTACACCCATACTACAAAGTATAATGACAAAATTATAGAAATGAAGAATAGATTAATGGCTTCTAGGTTTTAAGGCAAGGGTGGAGCTAGAAGGGAAGTAAATGTAGATTTAAAAGGGCAAGATAAGGGATACTTTTAGTGATGGAAATGTTTTGTATCTTGACTTTATAATACCAATATCTTGGTTCTGATATTGTATTATAGTTTTGGAAGATTTTGCCTTTGGGGGAATGTTAAAGGGTACATACATGGATTCCTCTGTATTTTTCTTACAACTGCATGTGAATCTTCAATGATTTCAAAATAAAAAGTTTAATAGATAAAACGTAATAGAGGATATTATGAACATTTGTGCAATAAATTTGAATATTTAGATGAAATTTTCCTGCAAAAGTGCAACTCACTAAAATTCCTTCAAAATTATATACAAATTTGCAGTTTCTTATATCTTTTAAAGACAAAGAATTTTGGCTGGGCACAGTGGTTCACGCCTGTAATCCCAGCACTTTGGGAGGCAGAGGTGGGCAGATCACTAGGTCAGGAGACCATCCTGGCTAACACGGTGAAACCCCGTCTCTACTAAAAATGCAAAAAATTAGATGGGTGTGGTGGCACGCGCCTGTGGTCCCAGCTATTTGGGAGGCTGAGAAGGGGAATCACTTGAACCCGGGAGTCAGAGGTTGTAGTAAGCCGAGATCACACCACTAAACTCCAGCCTGGGTGACAGAGTGAGATTCCATCAAAAAAAAAAAAAAAAAAAGAAAGAAGAAAGAAATAGATTTTTAATTAAAATGATTTCTGTAAATTAATCATCCAGCTCAGTTGGTTTCATGAATGAATTCTCCTAAACATTTAAGGAAAAAATAGTGACCAATCTTATATAAACTCCAGATGTAGGAACAGAGGGATTATTTCCTCTGTTAGTTTCCTAGGGCTGCTGTAACAAAAGATGACAAATTGATGGCTTAAAACAATTCAAATCTCTTCTTTCACAGTTGTGGAGGCCATAAGTCCAAAACTAAGGTGCCAGCAGGGCCATGCTCCCTTTGAAGTCTGTAAAAGAGAATCCTACCTTGCTTTGTTCAACCTTAGACTATAGGATTTCCTTGATCTGTCACAGGTAACTAAAATCTCTGCCTCACATGGGTCCGTATGTGGACTTCTTACCTTTTTCTGTGTCTCCATTCTCCCTCTGCCTTTCTCTTGTAAGGAAAGCTATCACTGGATTTAGGGCCCACACTAAATCCAGAATGACTGCATTTTATGATCCTTAACTTAATTGCATTGTCAAAACATCCTCAACTAAGGTCATTCATATTCACAGTTCTGAAGGGGTAGTCCACAGACATATATTTTGGCGGTCACCATTGAACCTACTATACTTTCCAACATATTTTATGAGTCCAAAACTTTATTACCAATATATGACAAGGGCATTGTAAGAAAGTTATAATCCAATATCTCATAAATTTGAATAAAAATTTCCTAAAGAAAATGTTATCAAATCCAGGATAATTTTAAAAGAGATACCACATTGAATTGTGTTTCTTCCAGAAATGAAATATTAGCTTAATTTCTTAAAAATTAATCATAACATTTGCTATAGTAACAAGACAAAATAGAAAACATATGATCATCACAGCATCTATTCATTATAAAAACTCTGAGTAAGCTAGGATTAGAAGAGAAATTCACTGATTCGATAAAGAGCAATTTAAGTAAAACATGTTGAGAACCTTTCCTCTACTTTAACATCCTTTGCTAACACATGTTGAGAACCTTTCCTCTACTTTAACATCCTTTGCTAACAGCACAGTACCATTCCTTCCTAGTGTCATAAAACAGAAAACAAATGGTAGAGGCCATCAAAGGGAAGAAATAAGGCTGTCATTATTTGCTGATGACATAAATGGAATGAACAACATTCAAAAGAATCTTTACTTAGGACTTAGGACTTACTAAGTGAATTCACAAGATAGCTGGATAAAAGGTCAACATAAGAAATCAATTTTATTTCCATGTAACAATCCACGAATAGAAAATAAATTTAAGAAATGGTCCCACTTTAAAATAGCATTATCAATACAATACTTGAGAAAAAAATCTAACAACAAATTTATTATTTTTCTAAAGGTTATATTTGCAGTACAAATTTCTGACAAAAGACTATTATCCAAAATACATGAAGAACACCAGCAAATCAATTTTTTAAAAAATAGTCAACCAGATGGAGAAAAAAAGGCAAGAGATTTAGAGGCACTTCACAAAAGAGGTTATCAACATAGCTGATAAACATATAGAAAGATACACAACCTCATTAGTTATCATAGAAATACAAATTAAGACCACAATGACAAAATGTCTAAGATAAAATGACTAACATTAAATATTGTTGAGAACATGTAGCATCAGCAGTTGTCAATCACTTCAGAAATTGCTTGACAGTATCTACAAAGGCTGAATATACGCACACACCAAGATCAACATTTCCACTGCTAGGGATATATCTGACAGCATGCAAACATATGTTTACCAAAGTACATATACATGATGTTTATAGTGGCACTATTTGTAATAACAGAAATTGGCAATAATAGAATAGATGAATAATTTATGATATATACATATGTAGAATACTACTTTACATCAATGAGAAGAATATCAAAAACATAAGTTTGAGCAAAAGAGTCATGGTATAAAGGAGTATATACAATAGGATTTACATACATTTCAAAAACTAATCAATGTTGTTAGATACTATTAAGAGTCACCATGGGAATGCACTGGGTAACCATGTAAGAACCAAAAAAGTATGAACAAACATTGCTATTATTTTGAGGTAAAGGGAGAAATTTTGAGCGTAAATGAAAAACAGGATAAAGTGAAGAATACACATATTTAACCATACTTAATATAAACTTTTAAACAGTTAATGAGGTATATGCAAAATAAAAATTTGGATATCAAATTTATTGATTAAACCTATGAACAACAATCTTGATGTTGAATTATTTTAAATTGATTAGAAATCAATCATATAGTTACGATCAAATAGATTAAATAGCACTAAGAGGAAAATCTCTCAAAGAAAAATATATTAATATAAAAAAATGAGAAAATATTCACTTTCTTACAATCAAAGAAATGCAAAGGAGATACAAGACACTGCTAATTAGCAGTGAGAGTGCAAAGGAAATGGAGAAGAGAAAGAAGTAAAGAAATAAAAAAAATCATAGCAAGTATTGTGAAGTGGTAGGGGGAAAAGAATCTCTCACACAGGTAGGATTTTTTTCCTTTCTTTTGTTTCAACGTGTTTACTGCAAAAGGAAACAGATTCAGAAAAACATAAAAATGTCTAACTTAGTGAGATATTATAAGGCAAACACCCGTGCAACCACAATCCAAGACTAGCAATCACATTTTGTCAGTCATCACAGATATTCTTGACGTCTCATACTCTTTCCCCTCGAAAGGCTCACAGCCCACACATTCATTCCCCACAATCTGGACTTTTATATAGTAAGCATATTCTTGAGTGTCTTTATAGTTTTATCTCACAAGATTTTATCTTTATAACTTTTAAGTCTTTTAATACGCTGACTCCTCCTTCATCTGTTTCTTTTCTTTGCTGTTTATCTGTTGAAGAATCCATGCTTTTTGAGCCATAGAGTTTTTCACAGTCTGAATATTGTTGATTGCATCTTCAGTCAGGATTGTACTCTCAACTAGTGAAAATACAGAAAGGATATAAAATGTGGATGGCCTATCTTTGGTGTTATTAGCGACTGTTGATACTCAATGCTTGGATCCATTAATTCATTGGGAGGTTGCAGTATGGTGATATTTGACTTTTATAACTGCTTCTTCATTTGTCATTTAGAATGACATTTATAAAGCAACATTTTCTTTTATCCACAACTATTTGATTTCCCAATGGTACAGTTCATACAGGAATGGCAGAAAAAAAAATGTTTGATACTTTCTTTTTGTTTTTAATGAAACATGGTATCTCAAGATTCTAATCTGGGCATGATAGTTATTCATCACTCCTAGGTTGTTGATTATTGTTTCTAGTCTTTTTCTGTTGACAAAACAAAGATATTATGCATGTTACATACCTGCTAGACACACACACACATACACACACAAACACTACCCATGAATGCATATAAATGCTTCAAATTGAAATTCAAGATGAGATTTTAATGTAATTTATTTTGCATTGTGTCTGTCTCCTTCTGAGAATCCTGGTTCTTAAGGATACAGTGGATGATAGACTTAAAATATCCCATAATTGCAAATTTACTGTATGCCCATTTATACACAGCCATTTCAGAATAACATTGTTAATTCCACCACCAACAGTATACCAAAAAAAGTAACATTTGTTTTCCTGTACTCTCCACATTCTATTTCCCCCATCTTAATACTTGTATAATATCGACATTGCCTGAGCCTAGAGCCATAACAAAATACACGCTTTCTTTATAATCTCAATTTATTCTTAGTTCTATAAGTAACTACATGTTTAAGGATGCCTATCACCTTACGAATGTCTTTTAAGTTATTTTGTTTGTCCAAGTTCATTATCTGGTAAATTCCCTAGGAAGTATTTTGGGAACAATATCATCAAATATTTACATGTTAGTTAATAATAGTTTTTGTGTATGTGGTTTTTACACTTGAATGTCAGATTTGCAGGATATAAAATCCTTGGCTCACATTTTCCTTCCTTGAATATATAAATATATTCTACTATTCTATATATAAACTACTCTGTTTTCCTCATACTGTCCATGTGTTGCTGTTGAAACATATGATGATAATGTGATTTTATTTGCTTTAGAAATATCTTGGTTCCCCCAGATTCCCATAGGTGGCAAATGATATTTTTTCTTTTTTCTACAAAGCCTGGCAATTTTACTAAATTTCAAGTTGGTACTGTCAATAAGTGGTGTGCTCTTTAATATATAGTTTCAAATATATATTATATATTTAATTTTAAGAAAGTTTTGAATTAGAATTTTTGTATTTGTTACATTCTCTTATTTTGGTTTTATTCTGCAGGCACACTTATTACCTATAGGATGAATTTACTTCATTATTTGCAATGTTGTCTCAAAATTTTTATCTGTTTCTGTATTTCTTTTTTATTTTTAAGGAATTATTTAGTGGTTCATTCATGCTTGTGTTATTTCTAATTCATTCTCCATTTGAATGTGATCATTTATTTCTAATTATTTCCTGAATTTTCTCATCTCATTTAAAGTTTTCAAAATTCTGATTAATGTGGTTCTATCATGCCTTAAAATGCTTTCTTATTTAACTCACCTTTAAGGTGTGTATTTTGATCTTTCCTGTGGTAATCTTTCTGTTGTGCTTTCATAATATATAAGAATCATATTATTCTCCTCATTCTCATTTTTCTTTTATTAACTTAGTATGGAAATTGCCCTCAAAACTTTTCTGTTGCTCATTTTTTTGTAAAATTAATTATCTTGAACTCCTAGAAAGAGGTGTGATTCAGGATAGCTTTCTCGTTTCACACAGCTCCCTCTTCTGTTCTCTTCATGTAGACTTTAACGTTATAAGTGGATTGCTTTCTGAAATTTCTGGACTCTCTTCTCCAGTTTTACATGTGCCTTCTCTTTACTTCTCAATATTATCCCTGCCCTACTCAAAATTCCACACCTAACAGTGTCTTTTCACTGTGGGATTCTAGGGTTTAATTCTAGAGGGAGCTCTCTAGCAAGTGGGTTTTGAGAGTTCACAGGGGACAGAATAGTCCAGCCTCTTCAGTCTTTTGTACACTCTCCTTGTACCCAGCTTCTATTGGAAGGGGCAAAACCACACCCAGTTTTGGATCCTGATCTCCAACTAGTCAGTCATGCTAGCCCATGAAAGTGTATGGAGAATATGCTACAGTCATGCTAGCCAGTAAGAGTGCATGTCTGCCAGCCACTCCATTCCTTCCCTTTGTTCCCTTCCACAGAGACACTGATATCAGGTGGATTTTGTGGCTAATGGAAGTTTATAATTATCTGCTTATAATGTGAGGTTTGTAGGTATAATCTGTAACCTAATTTTATTGTTAGTATTTTCCATGTCTTTGGTTTTGCTATTTACTCTGTCTTAATATATAGATTTGGAGATGTTCAAAATCTATATCATTGTTTCCTGCATCTCATGGCTGCAGCAGCATCCTCATGCGTTGGATCTTAAATTAACAATTAATTAATACTCTTTCTAATTGCATTAGTCTGTTTTCACATGCTATAAACAACTACCTAAGACTGGGTAATTTATAAATAAAAGAGGTTTAATTGACTTACAGTTCCGCATGGCTGGGAAGCCTCAGCAAACTTACAATCATGGTGGAGGGGAAGGGGAAATAATCACCTTCTTCATAAGGTGGCAGGAGAGAAAGAGAGCAAGGAGTGAAATCCACACTTTAAAACCATCAGCTCTCATGAAACTCACTCACTATCATGAGCATAGCAAGGTAGAAACCGACCCCCATGAGCTAATCAGCTCCCACCAGGTCCCTCCCTCCACGAGTGGCGATTCCAATTTGAGATGAGATATGGATGGGGACACAGAGCCAAACCACATCACTAATTTAATTAATTCAATTCAGTTAATGTGTTTCAGTTTGGCAACACACACAAGAACCTTGGCTACCTGTTTTGTAATCAACAGATTTTACTTCTCAGAATTTATCCAAAGTGCATAACTGTATAAAACCACATTTATGTTTGACAAGAGTTTTCAACAGAAGAGTATTTATAATTGAAAAAATTAATAACAATGCACATTTGCAATAAAAGTTACTTGGTTCAATAATAAATGATTGAAGCAGTATCTGTCTATCAAGGATCTGATATAGAAAAATATTCAGAAATGTAATAAGTGAGAAATAAAAGTTAAAAAATAAGCTGTATAATACAATCCTTACAGCTTATAGATCTAGATATAGACATATCTCTTTATCTAGTTGTATCTGTGAAGACAAATGAAATACTACAGTAATTGCTTAGTATGGTGGAACTTTAGTAATTTATTTATACCACTAACTGTATATATATTTTAACGTGAATTCAAAGTCGTCTTCATTCAATGCTCTGACCTACTTATGGTTGTTAAATAGTACCCTGAAAGGAATGGTTGCCAAGAAGTGTTAACATTGGAGTTGCAAATAAATTTCAGAAAGTCTATATCCAGTGGTGTATATCACAAAAAGAAAGGAATTTTTCCTCCCTACTTACTTCTGCAACTTGGTTTATTTGCAATCACTAAAGAGTTATAGGTTTGCAATTTCTGATTTTTAGTTGGGGGTAGCAATTTCCTATCACTTAGCAACATCCGTGACTTTCCATCAGGCTTTTGGAAGTGAGTTCAAAAGGAAATAAAATCCTCTAATCCATAGGTAAACTGAAAGAAATAAGAAAACAAAACCTCTATTTTTTTTGTCATGTTTCATTGGTTTTTAATGAACTGTTTAAGTTTATTGGGTAACAAAGGAAAGCCAGATGTTTAATGGTCCAATAAAGTAATTAATCAGTACTTCTGGTTTAACAATCTTTTGCCTATCAGCCTCCATGCCCAATTTCAAATATATTGGATTGCTTAATTGCATTAACCATGCCCAGTTAACCCTTTATCAACAACTAATGAAAATGGGATATTTTTTCTTTATTTACTGCTTTTCCTTTACTTGTGTTACTATATAGGTGCATAAGAATTTGGAATTTGAAACTTTACCAATTTTCCTATTCCTGTAACAATTATTAACATTCAATTAATCATTGTATCTTGTCCATTCTACCACAGATTATTTTTTCATTTTTCTATCTCTTTTGCTATTTTTGTTTTTCTTTCTTTTTTTTTTTTTTTTTTTGTTTGTTTTTTTTGATGGAGTCTTGCTCTATCACCCAGGCTGGGGTGCAGTCTCATGATCTTGGCTCACTGCAAGCTCCACTTCCCGGGTTCAAGCAATTCTCCTGCCTCAGCCTCCCAAGTAGCTGGGATTACAGGTTCCCACCACCACACCTAGCTAATTTTTGTATTTTTAGTAGAAATGGGGCTTCATCATTTTGGCCAGGCTGGTCTTGAACTCCTGACTTCAGGTGATCCAGCCGCCTCGGCCTCCCAAAGTGCTGGGATTACAGGCATGAGCCACCATGCCCAGCCCCTCTTTTGCTATTTTTCTATCTCAGGTACATTTTATCTGTCTCCTGGAATCTTAAAACCTTTCTCACCTTGTTTTAATACCTGTTTACACATTTGTGAAAATGTTCTTAATAATCCACTTCTTAGCATGTCACTCTAGATTCAAAATGCTTGATGGATCATTATGTCTCATAACAGGGTTGCATGCTCAAAATCCTTCTGGGGGCCAGGCAGGTTAGCAGGTCACAGAAACAAGAGGAGAGCCAAAACAATGCAATAGAGAGCAATAGGGTCTGTAGAGTGCTGAACAGCCAGTGAATTTAGAAACATCCTGCCGAACAAAGGCAATTCATCTGCAAGCCAGAAAGCTATGTTTATTACCTCTGCCCTAGAAAGTAGAATTCCAAATCCAGATGTAAGCATACGAAACAGCTGCTATCCTGTCCCACATTCATCTTCCCATTTGTCACTATTCTCCAGTGATGACAGGCACTGTTTCCAGAGAGGCACAGGCCCTCGTTCCTCCATGCCGTCCTTCCATACAAGCACACACTTTGGGATCATACTTGATCAATTTCAGTATTCAAATCGGTTTCTTTCTTTTGGGTAGAATTCTCTAGTATCTTAGTATCTTCTCTAGATGATTAATTATACTTTTAGCTGCCCCCTTATTGTTCCCTGTTCATTAATAAATTTGCATATATTATCATTACATTCCTATTATTTATTGATGTGGTCTTCTTAAGATACTCTCTAAGCTTCTGGGGAAAAAGGACTATGGGATCCTTCCCTGTCAACCTGTGGTACTTCCAGTGCCTTGTTTGTGTTTAATGAACACACAGGAATAAGTTTATACTGATCTTTGATTTGTTCATAAGAAAAGCAATAACATTAATATTTTTTGTTTAATTTTGTTGTTGTTCTGAAACCTGGACTCTGGTGTGCATCTCAGCAAAAACACAGAGTAGTTATCTGTTTAATGTATTTCTTAAATTTGTTGGTAGCATTGTTGTCAGAGGTGTTTGAAGAAGAGTGACTCCATCTTGAATAAGGGCTGGGTAAAATAAGGCTGAGACCTTACTGGGCTGCATTCCCAGGAGGTCAGGCATTCTTAGTCACAGGATGAGATAGGAGGTCAGCACCAGGTACCAATCACAAAGACCTTGCTAATAAAAAGGTGGTAAAGAAACCAGCCAAAACCCAACAAAACCAAGATGGTGATGAAAGTGACCTCTGGCCGTCTTCAGTCTTCATTATATGCTAATTATAATGCATTAGCATGCTGAAAGACACTCCCACAGGTGCCAGGACAGTTTACAAAAGCCATGGCAATGTCAGGAAGTTACCCGATTTGGTCTAAAAACGGGGGGAACCACAGTTCCGGAAATTGCCCACCCCTTTCCCAGAAAACTCATGAATAATCCATACTTTGTTTAGTATATAATCAAGAAATAACTGTAAGTATTATCAGTTGAGTAGCCCAAGTTGCTGCTCTGTCTATGGACTAGCCATTCTTCTGTTTCTTTATTTCTCTAATAAGGTTGCTTTCACTTTATGGATTCACCCCGACTTCTTTCTTGTGTGAAGTCTAAGAACCCCTTTTTGGGGTCTGGATCAGGACCCCTTTCTGGTAACATTTTGACTATTGAGGACCACCTTAACAACAACAATAATAATAATATAAAGATAGAGCCTGTGGATTGTGAATAGGGTCAAAATAAAGACTTACGGTTTAGTGGAAGAATTTTACAAACTGCATCCCCTTTAGTGGAAATACTGGTCCCGTTCACATACTGCAAGACTTTGGAAAGATGATTTATCTTTTTTTTTTCCTTTTCTGTGTATTCAGAGGAATCAACAATACCTACTTTGTCAAGTTGCTGCCAGATTAAAACCGCCTTTGCAAAATTATGACTGAGACAGTGAAAGAGATCTAACTTAACCAACTACATCTTGCTTCTAACCTCTAAGCTGTCTGTGTTCATTCCTGGGCTTAGGCTGCACTAACTTTGGGGAAATTTGGTTTGTAGTTTAAAACAAAGATGATAACAGCCCTTTCCCAAAGCAGACCGCCTTCTTGCCTAGGGACTATATTGCCTTTGTAGGACTAACAAATTAGCCACAAGATTAGAAATTATGGTTTAGGAGTGATGCAGCTGGAGGCTACAAGATTCTGACCCTCACTAAACTGCCCCTAAGATAAGTGCTTGAGATATTTTGCAGATCCTGCATTTGATGGATCAGCTGGCACCACCCAGACTGATAAACTGGCTCATCTGATTTAGTGGCCCCCACCCAGGAAATGACTCAGGGCAAGAAGACAGCTTCGACTGCCTATGATTTCATCTCTGACCAATCAGCACTCCTGGATCACTGGCTTCCCCACACACTGGCTTCCCCACACCTGCCAAGTTGTCCTTAAAAACTCTGCTCCCCAAATGCTGAGGGAGACTGATTTGAGTAATAATAAAACTCCAGTCTCCCACACAGCCAGCTCTGCATGAACTACTCTTTCTCTACTGGAATTTCCCTGACTTGAGAAATTGGCTCTGTCTAGGCGGTGGTCAAGGTGAACCCATTGGGTGGCTACAAAAGTATAATTAGGTACCCGATACAAAATGCTTCAGATTGCCCACACATTGTAAGAATTGACCACCACTATAAACCAGGAAAACTGCTCCCTCTACCCTCCTGCCCCTCGCGGCTGAATAGTAACCCCTCTAAGAACATTCCACAGCCATCAGATCCTGCTAAATACTGTTGTAGACATTATGTTCACTGTATAATATTCTTGAGATCCAAGCCAGGTGTGAGTATTTTAAATAGTTTTAGAGAAAGTATTTCAAACTATTACTTTACCTAAAATCATTTGCCAGTTAGACCTGGTTTGAATTCAAGTGCTCTGCTCCACTTGAAATTCCAAATGTGCCCTTATTCATATCAGGAAAAAATCCCAGTGGGGGCTTGGATGTGGTCTTGGAGTGTGTTTTATGGAAATGGTCAGCATTTCCTCTGCCTGGGGGTGAACAGTGATGCTAATATCCCACTCTGAGCTGATACGTTCATGAGCACAGATGAACAGTTTGAGTTTAGGACATAAAGTATGATGGTATTTTGACTATTTGGACATATTGAATTTCCTCACTGAACATCTTCAGATGGAGAAGCCATCAGGGGGAGACCTTTAGTTCATACCACTTGGAAAATAATATGAGGGAGAATAACAGGAAACTTATATGAAGGCAGCATTTCTCATTAACCCAAACAAACCACCTCAATCTTTACTGGTCTGAATGTTTCTGCTTCTGGAAATTCATGAGGAGCATTTGGACAATAAATAACAAAGCTTTATAAAACAAAACTAATCAAAAAACAGCTGCCAGCTGGTTTTTTGCTGAGGCAGCAACCAGGTGCTGAGCAAACGTTACCAGAGCCCCAAATTTGGTTAGTTTCATGAAATCCAATCTTTCCCTGCATCTTGTGATTGCAGTATCTGACCAGCCTTTGTGTTTGAACACACCTTAAATCCATCAGCACATGCAGAAAAGTGCCTCATGCACCTAAAAGCCCCTCACATGTCATGGATATTTTTATTACTACTTTTTATTTCCATTTCAATGCCAAAATTTCTTTAGCAGCATGCATCTGTATTATTGAACAATAAATGTGAGCTCATACACTCCTGACTCACGTTCCAAATCTGGCTTTTGTTCATGTACTGTTACCATCACACAAAATGCCTGGCGTTCTTGGTGTGACTTTTCTGTCCTGTTTCTGACCCCTGTGTCCAATATATGATATTTCAATCCATTTTCACCCTTAATTTGACACATCTAAAAGATGAAAATCTGTTGTTATACATAAATATGAGATGGAAAAAGGTATTAGATGTCAACTATATATCTTCATTCCAATTTATTGACTTGCTGAGAACAACTACCATGAGAAATAATTCAAATCTCCTAAGCATCCACATAAACAATCTTAGAAGAATCCTATTTCAATCCATTTCCTTTGTGGTAGCTTAATGGACTTCTTTAGCATGCCTATGCAACCCTAAAGGATTCCTCAGCTTTATAGAAGAACAAATCATTACACAATTGTGGTTTACCTGTCATTCTCAATCACTTACCTTCCCTGACTATTGCATCTGATTAGAATTAAGCTGTCTTTCTACCATATGAAATTTGTGCAGTCCATATTTTTGAATTCAATATATTTTTCTGGAACCAAAATCCGCATTAGCATTAAACTTCTCTGCTTGGAGAAACTCTGATCCCAGTATAAGGGACTTTTTTCCTTTCTGGCATTTGGAGACCATGCATTTAGAGCCACTGGTAAGCCTAGTGTCAGTGCCCTTTGCAAACCTAATCAAATATAATTTTTAATTTAACTGAAGAATTAATTAGGCAGATGAGACTGTAATTTTTTCTTAGTGTTCTGTTGAGAGCACATGACTGGATGGCTGCCATTTGTCTTACAATCTGTCTCTTAACCACATAGTTCCCCAGTTTCAAATCAGTGTTCAATACAGTTATTTAATTTTGGGACTGAAATGGTTTTCAAAGATAGCCAGTCCTTCATTTTAGAATGAGGACACTGAGATCTGGTATTATTCAAATAGCGAGTGGTAAAGCTGGCAACGAAAATCACATCTCCTGAACTTTCAGTTCAAGATTAGGGTCTGGGACATTACAAACAACCTAGAAAAACATCAGATCATTCTAATGCAGAGCACATTAAAAATAACACAGTAATATTCATAGTCATAAATTTTTAAAATGTGGAATCTATATATAACATATATACTTATATGTTTAGATATGTACATGTGTTTGTACACAGATGCTCAGCTATCATCTGTAGTGTGAGATGACTTATGACAGTGGTTTGAAGATTTTCACTATTAAATGTTAACGGGGAACATTTTCAAATATAGATGCCCATAACTTCTATATATTTTTTTTCAAGTTTTAGATGGAGCCCAATAATATTTATTGCTCTATCTGAATTCTGGTATGGATAACCATGAGCCATAATTTTAATTACACTGTTTTACAAGATTCCTTCTTAATCTAACTATGGGAAAGTCTATGATTCTAAATAACACCTTCACCCTGCCAGCTGAGAAAGCTTATCCTTTGGTACTATTGGTCATAAGTCACCACAGGAAAAAAATAATATGTCTTTAAGCCCTTGAGAATTCAGTAATGCTGCATTTGAAATTCAAATTGAAGGGATCCAGGAAGTTACATGATGACAGCTGAAATCAGAGAATATTTTTGGGATAGTACCCTGATGTTACTTTGTCTCTGAGGCTTTAAACTCAAGAAGTGGGAGGAATGAAAGGGTCCTTGAACTTTTTAGTCTCAATAACAGATTTGCCATCTTTTTTGTTGTTGTTGTTTTGAGACGGAGTCTCGCTGTCTTTTTATAGTTAAAAATGTACAAGCTATCAGGTTTTACAGAAACCTCCTGAATTTTAGTAGTGGCCCTACTTATGATGTATGATGAAATGTGTAATTTTATTTAGTTTGGTTAGGGACTAGAGCAAGAAAGGGAAGTAAGAAGCTAAACCAGAGTCTGGGCTGTGGCTAGGGATTAGTGAGAATCCTGGAAAAATGTGAAAAGACTAGACTGGCCTAGCCTCCCAGCCTACATTTCTTTCCCGTGCTGGATGCTTCCTGCCCTTGAACATCAGACTCCAAGTTCTTTAGTTTTGGGACTCAAACTGCTCTCTTTGCTCCTCAGCTTGCAGACAGTCTATTGTGGAACCTTGTGATTGTGTGAATTAATACTTAATAAGCTCCCCTTTATGTATATATATATGTTACTAGTTCTGTCCCTCCAGAGAACCCTAACTAATACAGACACGTACTAAGGAAAAGAACAGTTAAGGGGCCCTTATTCCCTCCAGACTTTGGACATAAGTACTTAAATCTTAAAATACAAAAAGATTCTCTGAGATCTTTTCAATATTATTGATTGCTATTTTATTCCCAAATAAATGAAGAAATCTTTATGTAGTATGCATATATTTGTCATCTTTGTACATTTGCCATGTAGGTGGCATAGATGACTGTGTCATATGATATGTGTTTGGTATGCTATGCAAAACTATGTCAAATTTAGATTACACTGAATTTACATTTTTATCTTGGCCATTATAAATCCTGCTTTTGTTAGTTTGTTTTGAACTTTTACTTTAGTTATTAAGAGCAGCTGCTTCAATCAGATTGCCTGGAGAATGTGCTGATGCAACCACTTTTCAGCTGTGTGATCTCCTGAGCAATTTATTTAATCTTTCTAAGTCTCAGACTTCCAAACTATAAAATTGGGATAACAATAATATTCACCACATAGGGTTATTGTGAAAATTGAGTGAGAAACTTTACATAAAGCCCTTAGCACATATTAAATGTTCATCACATGAGAAGTATTATTAAATGTTATTTGAATTGCCCATTACCCTGGACTCTCTGGATCACACTTCCATTCTACCAAAAATTTAAAAACATCACTATAATAATGATAATTACGAAAAAAACCCAACAAGCACATATATTGCTTATTATGTTCTAGACACTGTTATAAGTGCCCTATATACATATTAACTCCTTTAGTCTATAGAACAGCCCTCTGAGGCAGGGACTTGACTGCAGGCATTTACAGATGGCAGTGGGAGCAGCAAGTGAAGGCCACCACATCTGTGAGCTTTTCTCCAGCCTTCTGCTTTGGCACTATTGATAAGTGGTGATCTTTACAGTCTTCAGTTATTTTCTCTTTCTTGATATGAGACAAAGAAACATGAAAGATAATTTTTTTTTTTTGAGACGGAGTCTCGCGCTGTTGCCCAGGCTGGAGTGCAGTGGTGGGATCTCGGCTCACTGCGACCCCCGCCTCCCTGGTTCAAGCAATTCTCCCTTCCTCAGCCTCCTAAGTAGCTGGGATTACAGGCGCCCACCACCACGCCTAGCTATTTTTTAAATTTTTTTTAGTAGAGATGGGGTTTCACCATGTTGAGGCTGGTCTCGAACTACTGACCTCAGGTGATCTGCCCGCCTCAGCCTCCTAAAGTGCTGAGATTACAGGCATGAGCCACCATGCCTGGCCGAGAAGTTTTTCTTAAAGCAAGAACAAATAATATTATTTGATTTTTCTTTTTTTCAAATTCAATTAGGGTAAGGTATAGAAACCAAATGCTAATTTTTCTATTTGAGCTGGAAGTTTGTTATGATTTCTATTGGAAGCCAGATTCATTGCACTGATTTAGTCAATCTAGGGTTTTGCTTCAGCAGCAAAATGATGTCTAAACACACCTGCTTGACCTCAATTCTGCTGAAACTCCTCCTCAGATGCTCTGAATACAAGGGTCAGCCTCACAGCAATTCGACTCCATTTGACGCCCTCTTGGGAAATATCAGCTCCCAAGCTCTTTTTCCTTTTGCTGGGATCCAGGAAAATATAGTCGTGGCTGCCTTCTGCTGATTGGGAAGGGGTATGTTGGGTTAAATATTATTATTTGAGCTGCTCTGTGCATTGAATTGCAAGATTTTTTTACACCTTTTTAAAAATAGTTTCTTGGAATCATGTTACTTGGATATTCTGCTTCTAATGATAGATTTTATGTCCAAACATCTCTAAAGGGTTACAATGAACCTTGCAAAAACTTCAAGTTTTGCAGTTGAATCTTTAGGAGTGCATAGTTTTAACGTTTAATTGTGTGACACAAATGCAATTTTAAAAGTAAGCCATATTTATCCGCCATATGGTGTGTGATGCCTTCAGTCTCCTCCAGCTAGTCACTAACTGCCTATAAAAGACCATGATGCACGACGTTTTTTGCTTGGGTATGATCCTTATTTGATTGGGTTTTCATTTTATTTTAAAATGCCACCTGAATCTTCTTAATTTCCCTTCATTAAAATGTTTCTATTTAAAATCCAGGGCAGGGGTAGTTTTTATTGTTGATGTGTTGATAGGGGTTTCATTCACTCATCATTCATTTCAAAGAATAAATTGCCAACAGAGTAGATTGAATAACAAGAGGCCCCATCTCAGTGAGACAAAGGGCAGCAAAGCAGTGAGCTTGATTGACTGGTACAGGGTCTACTCAGGAAATCAGCAAGAGAAGCCAGGGATGGTTCTACTCAATGCAAATATGCTAGGTGTAAAGTATAGACTAGTCGTGCCCTTCTTTTAAATTACAACTCAAAGTACACCTTTTCCACAAAAGCTTTTTGATTTTCTTTCTCATACTATTTTACCATATGCTGAAAATAATTTATTATCTTGCAAATATATATATAGTCCCAAAAAATAATTATAATAAAAATAACCATTTAAGTGTTTATTATGCATAAATACATTATCATATTCAACTGCAATTTTATGTTTTATTTTTATTTACTGCAAGTCTCATAGCATAATGTCTGGCATGTAGAAAACCAAAAATAAAATGATTGTTGAAAGAAAGAATTGAAATAATACTGAACAACAAGAACCATTGAAATACCTCCTTTCCATGTAGCCTCATTTTCCAATTTAACCTGATTTTTATTTTAAACACACAACTTGATTTTTCCCTTATTTCTCTATTTACATGTTGCCCCCTTCCATAATATCCTAGAACTACTATCTCTTGTCAATTGATGTGTCTCATTACCAACATGTGTAGTACTTCAAGGTTAAATAATGATTTCCACAGAAGTTTCAAAAATCCTATTCTCTCTATCCCAATGGAAATGACCAATCCCCACTGATATGGTTTGGATTTGTGTCCCTACCTAAATCTCATGGTGAATTGCAATCCCCAGTGTTGGAGGAGGAGCATGATAGGAGGTGATTGGATCATGGAAGCAGATTTCCCCTTGCTGTTCTCATGATAGTGGGTGAGTTCTCATGAGATCTGATTGTTTAAAAGTGTGTAGCATCTCCCCTTCCCTCTTTCCTCCTGCTCCAGCCATTTAAGATATGCCTCCTTCCTCTTGTCCTTCTGCCATGATTCTAAGTTTCCTGAGGCCTTCTCAGCCATGCTTCCTGTACAGCCTGTGAAACTGTGAGTACATTAAACTTCTTTTCTTTATAAATTATCCAGTCTCAGGTAGTTCTGTATAGCAACGCAGGAACAAACGAATACACCCACTTACTTTCTACTTCCTGAAACAGAGATGCCCATGGATGTAGCAAACTAGAATCTGAGCAGTGTGCTCTCTCTAACACAGCTCTGCTAATCTTATGAGTGTTTTTACTAGGCTATCAACACAAGAGGAAGACCCAGGTTTAGGGGAGCCAGAGTTAAAGGGCCAGAGCTCAAGCTGTCTGAAGAGCGTTGTCAATGCACATGTAACCGAAGCTCAGTAGAGAAGCAGGAACAAACCTTCCTGGAAGAAAGATAATTCAAGAGTAAGTTTGGTGTTAGATTTGTTAGGTTTGATCTCCTGTAGTATTGCTAAGTGCCAATATCCTTGTAGAGCATTTTAAGGTTATGCTTCTTAGGCAATAAAATGAGGAAGAAAGATCCTGCAGTTGAAAAGACATCAAAGGGATGAGATCCCTGAGTTCATCAGCACTGGAGTGAAGCTGACAACACAAGAGAGAGTGAGGCTAAGGATATTTAATAACTCCTGGTAGATTAAAAAAGGTCTCCATTTGGACCAAAAAAAGAAGCTCCTTTATTTTCAGGATAAAATTAATGAGGTTGATATAATGCATAGTGTTGTATCTGATCCTACATCAGCTGTTGTTGCCTTCTTGTCAAGGTACACCCAAAATACATAAAACTTAGCATTGACAAATGCAGAATTTTTTTTTGAGACAGAGTCCCACTGTGTCACCCAGGCTGTAGTGCGGTGGCGTGATCTCAGCTCACTGCAACCTCTGACTCCCAGGTTCAAGCGATTCTCCTACCTCAGCCTCCCAAGTAGCTGGGACTACAGGCGCCTGCCACCACACCCAGCTAATTTGTGTAGTTTTAGCAGAGACAGGGTTTCACTATGTTGGCTGGGCTGGTCTTGAACTCCTGACCTCGTGATCCACCTGCTTTGGCCTCCCAAAGTGCTGGGATTACAGGTGTGAGCCACCGCACCTGACCAATGCAGAATTTTTATAATCTACACATCATTGCTCAGGAGAAAGAGAAATTAATAACAAAATATAGCATAAAACTCAAATGACTTGTACATTTGTCAAGAACAAACAATATCTTAAATAAATGTTGAGTCAAAGGATAAACCAGACCTAGCAATTAAAAAAAAAAACCTACCAAATTCAATGATAAGAACCATACGCACTAAAAAAAAAAAAAAATGCCTGGGTTCTTGCTAAAGCTTTTACTGGGCACAAATTTACAAAGTTAGATAATTTTGCTAGTAAACACAAACAATAAAAATAAATCAACTAAATATTCAATGTTAAAAGTTAGCCAAAGAATAAGAGAACACAAAGAAACAAAACAGAACAATCAATAAATATAAAGCAAAAGTTATGGAATTTTTAAACAGAAAATGGTATAAATTAAATAGTATCTAGACTTACTTATGAAAACAAAGAAGAACATATCTAATTGTTAACTAGCTTAATCAAGAAAAAAGAAGAAAAGAAAGCTGCAATCTTATAAGATCTGATTATACCAAGAATCAAAAGAAAATTCTGTGTATGCATCTATATTAGTAAAAAATAATTGTTACTTAGAAAAGTAGCACTTTAGGAAAAACAGTGGTCATGACTAAGGAAACAATTGAAAATCTTGGCAAACTAACAACTACAGAATCCCAGTCTTGTTTGTTCAACTGCCTACTTAGTGTCTCAAAGACACCTCAAACTAGACTTGGCCAAAGTGAAAGGATGTGCTTTTCTTAAGTAAACCTGTTCCACTCAACTCAGAAAATGACACATCTTTCTTCCCATTCTTTTAGGCCAAAAATCTTGATGTAATTTTAAACTTTTTTTTTTCACATTCAGGAAGCCTGTTTTCATTATCTTTGTATTATATCCAGAATCTGACCTCTCCCCACCTTCTCACCCTATAGGCCTGGCTCTTTCTCAGCTAGAGGGGCCTCCTTTTGCGGTCCTATTACTCCTCCTCCTTCCAGTTCTTCCTGCTTCTGCTCTCAGTTCTTTTAAAACTTAAGTCAAATCATGTCTTCCAAATCTTCTTTGCCACCCACCTCACTCATGGTGAACATTTAACCGCTCATCATCACTTCCAGACGGTTTATGGTCTGGGCTCCCAGTTTCCCCTCAGACTGCCCTTTCCTCCCCGCTTTTCCCACCACCACATACCCATGCTTTGCATTCATCAACCCACTGCCTGTGTAGGCTAATTTGGAAATAATTACCAAAAGCCTTTAAAAGCATGCCTACCCTCCTTTTTTTTTTTTTTTTTTGGAAATAAGTACCAAAAGCCTTTAAAAGCATGCATACCCTTTTTTTTTTTTTTTTTTTTTTTTTTTTTTTTTTTTTTGAGACAGAGTCTTGCTCTGCTGCCCAGGGTGGCAGGCTGGAGTGCAGTGGCGCAATCTCAGCTCACTGCAAGCTCCACCTCCTGGGTTCACGCCATTCTCCTGCCTCAGCCTCCTGAGTAGCTGGGACTACAGGCGCATGCCACCACGCCTGGCTAATTTTTTGTATTTTTTTAGTACAGACGGGGTTTCACCGTGTTAGCTAGGATGGTCTCAATCTCCTGACCTTGTCATTCACCCGCCTCAGTCTCCCAAAGTGCTGGGATTACAGGCGTGAGCCACTGTGCCAGGCTGCATACCCTTTATTCTAACAATTTTTGTTTCTGAATTCATAACAAAACCACAAGTATGCTCACATTTTGTTTGCAAGGAAGGGCATTCTAATGATATTTTAATATTAAAAAAGAGTACAACCTTAAACATCTAGTAAAAGTAATCAGTGAACACTTAAATAAATTATGGTATAGGTATTGAATGGAACCACTGAAATTGATAATACAAATGTTTATTTTATAGTATGAGAGATTTTTACTATATTTTAGTGACAATGTGAAGATACAATATATGCATTATAACCTAAAATTTGAATACACACACACATATAACATACATATATATATATAAATATTCTGTGACTTAAACATTGCATGGATATTCACAAAGAGCAGTGTTGAGAATGTATGTCTCTTCTTAATTGGATTAAACATAGATTTCACTCAGCACTTTGGGAGGCCGAGGTGGGTGGATCATGAGGTCAGGAGTTCAAGACTGGCCTGGCCAATATGGTGAAATCCTGTCTGTACTAAAAATACAAAAATTAGCTGGGCGTGGTGGTGCGGGCCTATAGTCCCAGCTGCTCGGGCTGCTCTGAAGACTGAGGCAGGAGAATCACTTGAACCTGGGAGGCGGGGATTGCAGTGAGCCGAGATCTCACCACTGCACTCCAGCCTGGGTGACAGAGCAAGACTCTGTCTCAAAAAAAACAAAAAAACAAAAAACAAAGAACCCATGAATTATAAAATTTTGTTCAACAATCTTCTTATTTCCCAAAATTAAAAAAGACAATTATTGATTTTTTATCAGAAAATTATAAGATTAAACAGAATTGAGAAGGCTTTATATGAGAAACTCTCTCAAAGTCCGTCCATTCTGATGCAGGATTTTTTCAGTGCCGCTTCTCCAGCCAGAGACCCTATGGCCAGCCATGCCCCTCCCCAGGGCCTTGCTCAGCTCCAGGCATGCAACTGAAGGTACCCTGCCCACTTGGCCCCCTTCGACTGCCCAGCCCGTGGCTGGGCTAGGCATACCACAACCTGCTTCCACCTTGGGTGCTGGTGTGTGGATGAGAGAAACACGGTGGCACCTGAAAAACTTGGAGACTCCAGAAACCACAGAACCTCAAAGAGGGTATTACAGTGTGTCACAGCTCTGGCTTGGGGATCCCCAAGGGTCATAGCTCTTCTCTCCTTCCTGCCACGTGCAGCCCAGTGAATGAGGGCAGGGCATGTTTTAGTCATTTGGGTTACAGCTCATTCAGTCCCTCCACTCTGCTCTCGCCCATGGCTCTTGTGCTGGCCCAGCCTATTTGCTGTTTCCTGTTGGTGTGGGGTAACCACCCAGCACTATTGGAGGGCAGAGGACTACAATGTTATAGCCTTTTTTGTACCCATGTTTGGTGGGTCCTGGGTTCTTGTCCCGTGTTCAAGAAGAATAAGGTTATGCTTACAACCAGAGGGTGAGCAAGGCAAAGAGTTTATTGAATGATGGAACAGTTCTTAGTGGAGAGGGGGCCCAAAGTGGGCAGCCCCCTATCTGAAATTGAGTAGTCCCCAAGTATGGCTGAGTTCAGGGTTTTTAATGGACACAGAATGGGGGAGGTGTGAACCACAGGTAGCACTGGAAAAGGCAACATTCAATGGGTTTAAAAGCATTATTCATAAAGAACCAATGTGGAAATAGCGTGCGAATGGAAACAAAAGTTCTCACTTGGGGTCACAGGCTTCATCAGGAACCAGCAGCCTGGTCTTCAGGCTTCAGGCTGTTTTTGGCTTGAAGGTGGGGTTTCACTGGAGACCTGCCCCTGTCTGCCTAGGATTTGTCTGCTTCCTGTTGCTATCAATTCCTTACTACTATTATTGATACTGGATATTTATTGAGAGTTTATTATATGTGGCAATAACTCACAGATGTTTAAGTATTATTTTAATGCAAACAAGAGTTCTGTTGTTTTGTCCCTTTAGCAGATGAGGGTACTGAAGAAAAAGGTAGCCCAGTAAATTATACTAATTATATCGCACGTATACAATTTTTCTAATTCTACACCATTCATATGCTTATGTGTTTGTGGTATACATATTTTGATTTCACAAATGAGTTGTAAATACTTGCAAAGGAGAGCATGTGTTAGAGAACATCAAACATTTTCAAAACATTTTGATATCAAAATCCTCTCATTTTATATGAGGGTAGCTTATTTTTCCTTCACATCAATCTTTCATTTATATGTATACATCATAATAGTTATTTTCAAACCCACAATTCTAATTGTCTAGTACCTTCCAACTCAGCATAAAGTCAGTGAAGCAGCAGCACTGGTATCACCTGGGAGCTTGTTGAAATGCTGAATCTCATCCCCCACCCACCTCCCAGACCTGCTGAATATGAATCAACATCTGAATAAGGTCCCAGGCGATCTGGATGCACATTGAAGTTTAAGAAGCTCTGATCTAAAAACTTTCTTAAAACCTCAAATGAAGGAAAACCTTTTTTTTTTCTCAGTTTTTCACAAACTGATTATGACTCATTGTCCTTGGGAGTACCAGAATTTTTTTCTGTTATGATGCAAGCAATTGCATTTGGCTGTCTTGTGAAGCCTTGCTCTAGGGCATCTCCTGCAGATCACCTGGCTTAAAAAAATCTGAGTAAAACAAACAAATTGCATTTTTTCACAGTGCTGGAGAGACAAGATTTCTCTTTTCAGTTTGCTGCTTTTCATATCTGTGAGTTCACCTTGATTTCTGGCTTTCTTTCTTAGCTCCTATGAGTTGTGTGGGCTTTGGTAGCAAGGAGGCATGCCAGCACATTGAGAGGGTCTCTGCTCCCTGCCATCTTAGGACGGCTCAATGACACCAGCGCCTACACTACAGCAGTTTGCAAAGAAGCATGTGAGACCTCAAAGGCTGTCAGATCGTCTTCCTTTACATCTGTCAGACGTGGCACTGTTTCTCACGTGGAAAGGGCCGGCTTCTCAAAATGGAAGGATTCCCAAATGTCACCTTCTTGTGTCTTCCTGGAACTGGGGCTGCAAGTGCCTGACTCCTCAGAAAAATTATCTGACAGAAACAGTACATCCATATAGTCATTTAAGTTTTACAGTGATGTTCACAGATGCTAATCTCAGACATAAACCTGTGAAGTAGTTATTCGTATTTATTTGCTAAATGGACTAATGTGTCTCAGAGACTTTGGTTACTGCCCTGAGCATCACTTTGGTTACTGCCCTGAGCATCACTTTTGTCGTGAGTCTTGTGTCTCCCATCCAGATCTCTGTTCGAGGCCCCAGCCCCAGGACTGGGAAATTAAAGACAGGAAAGTGTGATTAGGCACCTAATAGGCAGAGGAATAGTGGGCTCTGCTGGATTTGGTGGCATCAGTTCCCTCTTCACAGCTCTCTCTTCTCTTTCCCTTTGCCTAAAACTACAGCTTGTAGGACCTATCCAGCATGAAGCACCTCCTCTTTAGCCATAAGTGGTTCTTTTAACCATCTGTTCCACCCTAGGCTGCAGTTCGAGTACCCTATAAAAGGCAACAATCTCTGCTGTCCCACTCCTCGAAACTCATCCTGTCCTACTTCATTGCCTATTATTAATTGTGAAACACATTAATTTTACCTTTTTTTTTTTTTTAGACAGAGTCTCGCTCTGTCGCCCAGGCTGGAGTGCAGTGGTGTGATCTTGGCTCACTGCAACCTCCGCCTCCTGGGTTCAAGCAATTCTCTGCCTCAGCCTCCCAAGTACCTGGGATTACAGGCGGCCACCATCACACCCAGCTAATTTTTGTATTTTTAGTAGAAACGGGGTTTCACCATTTTGGCCAGGCTGGGCTTGAACTCCTGACCTCGCAATCCACCCACTTTGGCCTCCCAAAGTGCTGGGATTACAGGCGCCCACCCGCCACCACGCCCGGCTAATTTTTGTATTTTTAGTAGAGATGGGGTTTCACCATCTTGGCCAGGCTGGTCTTGAACTCCTGACCTCATGATCCACCCACCTCAGCCTCCCAAAGTGTTGGGATTACAGGTGTGAGCCACCACTCCTGGCCTCATTTGACCTTTCTATCCTTTTTGCACCCCTCAGATTTGCTGTATCCTGTTGCAGTTTTGTCTGTTCAGTTTAGCAAATCCTTACTGGGTTCCCTAGTATACCAGACCACACAACCTGATATGATACCTCATACTTGTCCATACACTACCCTCCAGGGGCAGTGGGTGCCACCAACTTGCACCCTTACATCTTACAGGGGGCACTCAGGCAGCTCCACTTCTCACATCTGTGGCTCAATCACATTTGTGCAGCTAATTTCAAGTCCTGGGTTTTTTCTTGCCCCCACGGGCTGATTGCTGATCTTGGCAGTGTATCCATTACCAAGGACAGCACCTGGCTTCTCACTGGCCAATTGTTTCATTTTGTCTCTACCAGAGTGTGAAATCACAGCTTGTGTCTTGGGTCCTGCCACTGACAAACAGTGATGGCTGCCCACAATTCAAGCATCCCCCTCTTTCCCCCGTCTTGTGCTGTGTTCTCTCTCTGGGACCCTTCATCACTTTGTCTGGGTCCCTGATACCAACGTCTTACCTGTACTATGATTTATGGATGGTGCTCATTTTGGATGCTGTGTTCACCTTCAAGACAACTACTCTTCTGTTTTTGCCACCACCCTCCTTTATCCTCCATCACTCCATGTTCTGTCTTCAGCTAGAGTCCAATTTTAGGATTCACCCTCTCCCTGCCTATAGCTATCCATGCCCTGACTGACTAGACTCCTTTATAAAACAGAAGATAAGAAGAGAGACAAATGAGCATGTAAATGTTTCAGCAACAAACTGCAAACTTCACAGTTTTTCCTTTCTGTTCAGCTTCCTGTCATAAAGAATGATAATTTATGATGAGGACTAAGTTGCATGATGGCACCATTGCTTGTCCTTCCCTTTCCAATCTTTGACAGAAGATGAATGGATTCCTGGAGAAAAACTTATGTCTAGTTTATGTCACTCTTTCCCCACTGCCTTTCCAATACTCTGTCTCCATTTCTATGGCACAGTGGCCTGGGAAGAGGAAATGGGGAACATTCTCGCTATTCTGGCAGTCGACAAGAATGTTGAGATTTATTACTTTTTTACACTGTCACTGACTCTGTAAAAATAACCTTTTCACTGTGGCCAGCTTCTTATACTGAAGACAACAGCAAGCCTTAGGAAGCTTTCTTTCTTCTTCTTCTCTCTCTCTCTTCCATTCTTTCCTCCCCTCTCTTTCTCTCTCTCTTCCATTCTTTCCTCCCCTCTCTTATTCCTCCTTCTCTGCCTTCTTCATTTTCTCTCTCCAGTAACATCTAGCTTTAATCAAGAAGTGCATCCTTAAGCTCCTTCAAAGGCTCCTTGCATCATCATCATGCTTCTCTGAGTTAGCAGGCATTAATAAGTGATTATTTACTGTATATGAGTCAGAAATGTATAAAACCCTGCCTAGAAATCCTAATTTTTCTGAAAAGTTCCTGACCTGGTATTATATTAAAAGGCATCATTTCAGTTCAGTTGGAATGGTAAACTACGATTTGCAGTATGCTTGCTGTCCCTAAGGTCCTCCCTAAGTTTTAGATCCAAGACTAAATACAACTACTTAATACTTTTTTTTAGTGTAATTTTTGGCCTCCATGATATCAGTATGTTATTAGTTATAGCAGGAAGGGTGAATTTTTAGTAATTCACACATATATCTCTCAGTTGTAAATCCCAAGTGAAGAAATGAACAAAAAAGACAGTGCCATGTTCTTGAAAACCTTGCCAGAGTCCTTTACAGTTAAAGCATGTATAAATACCAAACTCACAACTAATTATTTGCTATAATCACTTGAACATGGGGAATGCATAACTCTTGGTTGTAGAAGATCTGATGGCACCTCACAGTAGCAAGACAACATTACCCTCAATTTTACTAAATGGGCTATAAAATTGCCATTTAATGTCTGTTTCCCAATACTTTTTTTTTGCATATACATTGCTATATATTTATCTGTGTATTTCTGTGTATTATTTATTCTCTGTTTCACATACAAAGATTTGATAACTTAAGTAGTAAGTAAAGAAGAATTTTTTTTGAGACAGTTTCACTCTGTTGCCCAGGCTGGAGTGCAGTGGTGCAATCTCAGGTCACTGAAACTTCTGCTTCCTGGTCTCAAGAGATTCTCATGCCTCAGCCTCTTGAGTAGCTGGGATTACAGACATGCACCACCACGCCAGGCTAATTTTTGGATTTTTAGTAAAGACAGGGTTTTGCCATGTTGGCCAGGCTGGTTTCAAACTACTGGCCTTAAGTGATCCACCCTCCTCTGCCTCCCAAAGTGCTGGGATTACAGGTGTGAGAAACCATTCTGGCCATAAGTAAAGATTTACCTGGAGTTGTTTTCATGCTGTATGACCCTAGAAAGTAACCTAGCCCCTTTTAGGGTTAGTATCTTTATTTTTAAGATAGAGGTTTAAAACTATTCTCTATAATATTTTGTGAAAATTTAATTTTAAATTTGAGACCTTGTAGTGAAAAACAATAGAATATTATATAGGCTGTTCTCTTTTTCCTTTTCTCTCCCTCTCTCACTATTTTTATTGTTATTGTTATTCATTTTGACAGCAGGTTATCTTCTGAAAAATACATAGTACTTGGTATAATGCTCAGTGCTTGATTCATTATATAAATTGAATACATATGCATTTGGATATATGCTGAATGAAGATGTGAAAACTAGGCAAAAGTGAGATGCTGTACTTTGGTTTCAAGTGTAATAAACACTAAATAATAGTGTTTATTGAGTGGCTACTATTTATTTGACAAAGAGCTATGTCCTTTACATTTATTATTATTCAGCTGGCAAAAACCTTAAAGGTTAGTATTATGTCCCAATATATCAATGAGGGGATTTGAGCTTAAAGTTAAAAAATTATATATAGTCAGTAAATGTCAAAGCTAGAATCTGAATTCAAGGAGGACTAAATTAGCAGGTACTCCAACTCATACTTCTGCCTACTCCATTCTAACTATCTTAGGAAACTAATATTGGAAGGCGTAGGTGTTATGACCACTTGGAGAATGTTTTTAGAATTTTGTTTAATCATCTGATTAATTTTGGCAGCAAGCTTATCTCAATGCATCTGGGAATAAAATTACTTTGATCAAGCAAAGTCCAATTACCTAAATCATATTTTTACTAGTTAAGACTACATTTAACACATGCTATTAAAATATTATATAAAATGTACTCATAGATATTTAATCATAGTTTTGAAATTCCATAATCAGTTAAAATATCTGGTAGTTATATTGAAAGTTGCCCTTGGCTGTGGGAAGATGACTTAGTCACCATTTTCACTGCTTTTTACCTGAACAGTTAGGGCCCATTACTGGGCCCTTTAGCTTCAAAGCAGAAACTTAAATTAAGTTTTTAACTCTATGCTCAAATCCCCTCATTGATATATTGGGACATAATACTAACCTTTAATGGTTTTGCTAGCATGAGTGATAATGAATGTAAAGAATCTAACTCTTTGATGGGTGAGGCATGTCTCTTCTGTCAGGTGACTCATATCAGGTAGGGCCATTATAGCTCCTCTTATGCTAGTCGAAGGAAGAGCCCTCATCCAAGGGGAAGGCAAAGTAAGGACATATTCTGATGAGAAGTCCCATTTAGTATAAGTGGGAATGGTTATATCCTACTTGGAGCTCTCTTTGGAACAGTTTCCCAAGTAGACTCAGGTGTAGATCACTGGATAGGAGGAGAAGCTGAAGTAGAGAGAGAGAGAGAGAGCTATTTCATTAAAACAAAACAAAACAAAACCTCTTAAGACTAGGACCAAACATGTCCTCAGAACAGAAGATGTCTTAAAGGTCAAGGGGTATTGACCACCATTTCTCAACAGTACATATCCACACATCTACAGTCACATCTATGTCTCCAGGACACCAGTTTATTGGACACTGTGAGGCCCTCAATTTTACTAAATAGGATATGGGAGTGGAGTCCGTCCAGCAGAACGAGCTTTCAGAAGTGCTTAGTGGCAAAGTGTGATAAAAGCAGCAAAACTCAGAGCTCCTGGAGAGGCATCATCTAGCAGAAGACACTGGGCACAGAAGAAGAATAAAGAAACCACAGACACACCCAGCAATCAACCAGCAGATACTCTGAATTGCTTGAGGTCACTGGGGCTATACCCTGTCAGCATTCCCTAGTAAAACTTTCTGGACACTTATAGGCTTTTTCTTGGGCTTTTGACCTATATTAGCATATAATGTTACATTGAAACTTATATTAAATTAAACAACTTTTTTTTAATGACACTTCCCTTTAAAAGTGAACAATGTAATGGCTTTGGGCTTCCAAGCTGTCTTTTTCTTTTGCTCTAGTTTTTAAGTGCAGTCAATATTTTTGAAAATGCCTCAGAGCACTGAATGCATTTCCAGCATGTGATGTAGCCCCAGTTTCATTTTCGGTGTTGAATTTCTGCCGTATTCAATCTGAACTACAATTTTAGAAATTACAAATTTTAGCAGTTAAAAGTGAGCCAGGGCCCAAAGTTAGTTATGTAGCACATGGTACCATGTCAGTCAGCTCTCCTGCCCTGCTAGAGGCTTTGTGAACAAGGTATTGGGACCTTGGCTGAACATGGGGACATCGTATTTCATGCCTGTGAAAAGCAAGGTTCATGCCTATAAGGTTACATGTCGATACCAAGAAGAATAATTTATACGTAGTTATAAAGTTCAAATGGGATAAAGAAACCATGGGGAGCCATGATGCATGGCCTATGGACATGGTTAGAGGAAGAGAAGCCTGGCAGAATTACCTGGAGTTTAGATACCAATTGCAAAATATCAGCTATCAGTAGCTTCAGTTCGGTGAAAGAAGCAAACAGAAAATATGTGGCAATGTATTTAGGTACACCATCACTCAAAGCATGTGATTCCAGCTCAATATGTATTTCATTCTTCCTTTCTTCTGTGAAAATTCCATTTGTAGTGCATTTTCCATTTCTGCAAGAAACTCATGGGCTATTAACTGCTTTACCCTTAGTTTCCTGGAGCAAAGTGACTTGGAGAGATAACTTGTAAGCCAAACTTGCTCTGTCAGGTTGGCTAAAGTATTTTCTCTACAAATAAACTACTGTGTGCCCAAACAATTTCCTCCTTGCAGCTTGAATGTGCTCTAAGATAGGAAAGACAGTGATTTCCAGCCAGACAGATGTACAGTAATGGTAATCGCCTCATGAGATTAAACTCACCAGAGCTGCAGGGTACTTTGTAAGAGGGTGAGTAATCCCTACTGTCACTCAGTGAAAAGATAAAGAATAGCTAGAAGCAGAACTGGCTCAAAATCCATTTCCACCATCCCTAGCCTTGGCTCTTCTGACTTCTTCCCTATTTCATTAATAGTATCAGCTTCCACAGTCTCTAGCCATAAACCTTGGCAATCATCCTGTTTTCTCTATCACCCTTACCTATTTATCTAATGAATCTTCAAGCCCTATCCAGACCATAGTGCATAGAGAGCTGTGTGTTTTAAGTCATTGCAGGGTGAGTGGATGCCAAGCTGTTGATGAGACAGAAAAACACATATAAAAAGAAAAATTGACATCATTTCTCAGACTGGAAGGATTTTGTGGCTTTAGTTATGAACCTCAATATTAAAATTTAAAAAACTCTAACATCTCAAAAATCTGTCCATTCATATTCGGGCTTGTGGCTTGTGTGTCCTATTTCAGTCTTCAACATTTGTCATTTCTCAACGCTCCTTAAAACTCCAAATCTGACCAAGTTATATCATTTCTTAAGAAAAAAAAAATCAACTCCCAATCATTTCCACACAGTGTAACATGGCTTCTGAGCTTCAACTTTAGTCATAATCTGACTTTCTAGGCATAGAAGCTTGTATACAGTTTTTAAAACAATAATTAATTTTCACACTTGAATGTCTTTATTATGCTGTTTCAACTCCACACAGTTTCTCTCTTTCCCAAGCACTTCTGCATACCTACTATCCTCATACCTACTATCTCTTCCCCTTCCTTTGAATTCACCTTGGAAAGTTTCTTCTAAACTTTATAGTTAGTTCCTGACTCAACTCTTTCCTAACCCCTTCATGCAGAATTAAGCACTTCTATATCTCTGGTGAGATGACCATCTTATTCAAACTGCCAATCATCATATACCATTCACTATATTATGATTAAATGTAGGTGTATCTGCTTTCCCTTATTGATTATGATTGTATGGAGTTCAGACCTTTTCATGCCCTCATCTCCAGTGTCTATCACACTGGCAAATAGTAAGGTGCTCAATGTATATTTAAATTAATTAAAAATGAATATTAATTTATTGGTTTACTTTCCAGGGTACTTACCCACCAAGGCATGGTTAAAAGCATACTTGGACTGAATTTCATACTCCAAGTAATGACATTCACTTTCTTGTTATCATTGCCTCCAGTCCTCAGAGTTCTGAGGTTTGGTTTAGGAATGGAGAATTTTTTTAGAGAGAAGGGTGACAATAGTAAAACAGACCCATTCTTGAGACAAACCATTTCTTAAGTTTTTATTATGAGGATTTAATACAGAACAAAATAATATCGCATACCAGGACATCTAGATTTCTTCAACCGCCTTCTTATCAATAACTTTGAGTAAAGTCAGCTCTACCACTACAGTTGCACTGTACAAATCAGGATCTGCCAGCCAAATGTGTATTTCAACTTCAATTTCAATTAATTAAAGTATATAAATTAAAAATTCAGGGTTTTTTGTAGCACTGGCCACATTTCAAATGCTTAATAGCCACAGGTGGTCGGGGACTGCCATATTAAACAGTGCAGATATAGAAATTTCCATTATCATAGAAAGTTCTACTGAACAGCAATGATCTGTAAAATTTCCCAAACTACTGAAAGCTATATTTGCAAATGCAGCATGTTTATATCACTCTCATGCCTAAATCCTTTACTGTTTGTAGATCATGGCTAAGACCAAATTCAAAGGCTTTAATATGTATCCCATGCCCTTTATGAATGGCTTCTCTTGATGATCTCGAGCTTCATGGCTTTTCACAGTCCCACGTGCATTCTATGTGCTAAAGGAAGTGGTGCTCTTTCAAGCTGACAAATTGGCAGAGCTCTGACCACCTGTGTACCTTTTGCCTGGCATTATTACTCATGTGACTAATTCCCATGCTCTTTCCAGCTACAAAAACTTCAACCCTTCCTTGGTTCTCTCAGTTGATGATGCCCAATGATCATCTGTGTTATTACAATTCTGTGTGCTTCTCTCTCATCAATTAATGTGCTACATTTTCCAATATGGTTTTCCCTACACAGTAGTTGTATGCTTTTCACTTCAATCACATGCTGAATATGGTTGAAGAAGCATAATGATTTATCTTGTGGAATAAGAACATCAATGTTCTCTTACCACCCATCTTCAGCTCCCAAAATGGAGACGAGGCATGCATAATTCCTAAATGTGGTAATAGTTTAAATTACATATCTCTATAAGATTGACTTATGGTATGTATCTTCACTATTTTCTGATTCATAAACTTACTCTCTAATATCTCTTTTTAAAAATAAAATGTAGCATCTATTTTTGAGTTAGTTACTTATATTATTTAGTTGCCCACATTATTTTATTTATTGGTTTTAGTATTCTGATGCTTTGCCTACATCAAAATAATCATTACCTATTCAGAGATCCTTTTTTAAACATGAAGAATAACACAAGAAGTTCAAGAAATGTATCATAAGATGCAATATTCAGAGAAATAATTGGAGAATATACTATATTGTCAATATTTAACCATTATAATCAACTTTAGTCATCAAAACTGCCTTAGAGTCTTTAGTATTTTAAGATTAATTTCAAAATAATTTATTCTATTATTACGCTGACTTTCATACTAATGTAAATGAACTTAATAAGATGAAGCTCAAATGTGACGTTAAAACAGAAACAGAACAGAAATTGTAACCCAAATGAGTACACTCCAAAGCAAAGAGGTTTTTTGGCTGGCTTCTGTGGAGGAGTTTTCATTTCCTTTAATCCATATCACAGACTTGTCACAGTCCCAAAAGGGGAGATGAAAATTCTAATAAAATCTTTTTTGCATTTAAATGATAACTCATGTTCTGCATTCATTTGCCTTTGAAATTGACTGTTCAGAAAACATGGGCACTATAGGGTTAAAAATACAGTTGTGAACCTCACTTGCTCACACACAGTCCTGCACTCTCCCCCACACTGCTTTCATTTCACAGAGATTTTTCTAACTCTTCATTATTATTTATCAGTTAAAGACAAAATGATCTTTGTTTAATTTTAATTTTTGGAAATTATAAGTAGTACTCAATTAGCTTTTGTCATTAAGTCTAATCTGCATCGATTATCTGAGATATGACAAAAATTAAATGTGCCTATGTAACTCTTAAATCCTAGATAAAAATTTGTTGATGTGTCATTATTCTAATTAGAAATGGTGAGAATATAAAATGACACTTTTGAGACCCAGGATATGTGATATGCACACGTGATGTGGGTTAGTCTTTGGCATTTCTTCACTTTCTCTGTTGTTCTTCACGACGAGAATTTCTAACACTTAGTTCATATTAACTATAGTATAAAATAAAATATTAAATAAGGGAACTATAATATTTCGATGCTCTGAAAATAGTATTAGGATTATTAAACAAACAGTGCATTATCTCTCAGATCAGTCTAATGAAAACACATTTTATGACCTTAAAAACCAAATAATTAAATGAAGTGAGTGATAGAAAACACACATGGGACACAAGCATCTTTTAGATCTGTGACTACTTTACTCCATAACCTTTCGATAACATTAGCTCTGGCCTCCCCATTTCATTTTTCATTCTAAACACACACACGTCCATA